>NC_000001.11:245729576-245881091 GCF_000001405.40 Homo sapiens
AAAGTCTACAAGGAACTTAAACAAATTTACAAGAAAAAACCAAAAAACCCCTTTAAAAAGTGGGCAAAGGATATGAACAGACACTTCTCAAAAGAAGACATTCATGCAGCCAACAAACATATGAAAAAAAGCTCAGCGTCAGTGATCATTAGAGAAATGCAAATCAAAACAACAATGAGATACTAGTTCATGTCAGTCAGAATGGCAAGTATTAAAAAGTCAAGAAACAACAGAGGCTGGCAAGCATGTGAAGAGAAAGGAATACTTTTACACTGTTGGTGGGAACGTAAATTAGTTTAACCATTGTGGAAAATACTGTGGCAACTCCTCAGAGATCCAGAAGCAGAAATACCATTTGACCCAGCAATCCCAATACTGGGTATATGCCCAAAGGAATAGAAATCATTCTGTCATAAAGATATATGCACATGTATGTTCATTGCAGCACTATTCACAATAGTAAGGACATGGAATCAACCCAAATGCCCATTAACAATAGACCAGACAAGGAAAATATGGTACATATATGCCATGGAATACTATCTAACCATAAAAAGGAATGAGATCATGTCCTTTGCAGGGCCATGGGTGGAGCTGGAAGTCATTATCCCTCAGCAAACTAACACAGGAATAGAAAACCAAACATTGCATGTTCTCACTTATAAGTGGGAACTGAATAATGAGAACACACGGACACATGGTGGGGGAGAACAACACACTTTGGGACCTGTTGAGGGGTTAGGGGGAGGGAGAGCATCAGGAAGAATAACTAATGAATGCTGAGCTTAATACCTAGGTGATGGGTTGATCTGTGCAGCAAACCATGATGGCACACGTTTACCCATGTAACAAACCTGCACATACTGCACACGTACCCCAGAACTTAAAACAAATGTTGATGAAAAAAAAATGACAGAATGGCTGAATTGATTAAAAAAAGACCCAATGTTCTGTTGCCTACCAGAAACACACTTCGCCTGTAAAGACACATACAGATAGAAAATAAAGGGATGGATAAAGATATTCTATGCGGATGGAAACCAAAAAGGGACATGAGTAGCTATACTTACATCAGACAAAACAGATTTCAAGTCAAAAACTACAAAGAGAGATAAAGAAGATCATTATATAATGATTAAAGGATCAATTTGGCAAGAGAATATAACGACTGTAAATATTACATGCACCCAACATTGGAGCACACAGATATATACAGCAAATATCACTAGAGCTACAGGGAGAGAGATAGACCCTAATACAATAATACATGGAGACTTCAGTACCTCACTTTTAGCATTGGACAGATCTTCCTGACAGAAAATCAACAAAGAAATATCAGACTTAATCTGCACTACAGACCACATGAACCTCAAAGATATTTGAAGACTATTTCATCCAATGGCTGCAGAACTCACATTCTTTTCCTCAGCACGTGGATCATTCTTAAAGACAGACCACATGTTAGATCGCCAAGCCAGTCTTAAAACATTCCAAAAAGCTGAACAAATATCAAGTATCTTCTTTGACCACAATAAACTAGAAATCAATAACAAGAGGAATTTTGGAAACTACACAAACACATGGAAATTAAACAATATGCTCCTGAATGATCAGTGGGTAAATGGAGAAACTAAGAAGGAAATTGAAAAATTTCTTGAAACAAATAAAAATGGAAACACAACATACTAAAACCTATGGGATACAGTGAAAGCAGTACTAAGAGGGAAATTTATAGCTATAAGTGCCTATGTCAAAAAAGAAGAAAAACTTCAAATAAACGACATAACAATGTATCTTAAATAAACAACATAACAACGTATCTTAAATAACTTGGCTTTGGTTTGCTTTTGCAAAATTAGTAGAAAAAAAAGAAAGATTAGAGCAGAAATAAATAAAACTGAAATAAAGAAAATACAAAAGATCAGTGAGACAAAAAGCTGGTTATTTGAAAAGATAAACAAAATGACAAACCTTTAGCCAGACTAAAGAAAAAAGGGAGAAGATCCAAATAAATAAAATCAGACATGAAAACAGAGACATTACAACCAATACCACAGAAATTCAAAGGATAATTGGTGGCTCCTATAAGAAACTATATGCAAATAAATTGGAAAATCTAGAAGACATGAATAAATTCCTAGCCACATAAAACCTACCAAGATTGAACTGTGAAGAAATCCCAAACCTGAACAGACCAATAACAAGTAATGACATTGAAGCTGTAATAAATAGTCTCCCACAAAGAAAAGCCCAGGACCCAATGGCTGAACTGCTCAATTTTACCAAACACTTAAAGAACTAATATCAATCTTACTCAAGCTGATTCAAAAAAGGTGAAGGAGGGAATACTTCCAAATTCATTCTACAAAGCCAATATTACCCTCATACTGAAACCAAAGACACATCAAAAAAAAGAAAACTACAGGCCAATATCACTGATGAATATTGATGTAAAAATCCTTAGCAAAATACTAGCAAACCAAATTCAACAATACATTAAAAAGATCATTCATCATTAACAAGTGAGATTTATTCCTGGGATGCAAGGATGGTTCAACACATGCAAATCGATCAATGTGATACATCATATCAACAGAATGAAGCACAAAAATCATATGATTATTTCAATTGATGCTGAAAAAGCATCTGATAAAATTCAACATCCCTTCAGGATAAAAACCCTAAAAAATGGCTATAGAAGAAACATACCTTGACATAATAAAAGCCATATATGACAGACCAATAGCTAGTATCCTAATGAATGAGGAAAAACTGAAAGCCTTTCCTCTAAGATCTGGAACATGACAATGATGCCCAATTTCACCACTGTTATTCAACATAGTACTGGAAGTCCTAGCTACAGCAATCAGACAAGAGAAAGAAATAAAGGGCATCCAAATTGGAAAGGAAGAAGTCAATTTATCCTTGTTTGCAGATGACATGATCTTATCATATTTGGAAAAACCTAAAGACTCCACTGAAAAACTATTAGAACTGATAAACAAATTCAGGGAAGTTTCAGGATACAAAACCAACATACAAAAATTAGTAGCATTTCTATATGCCAACAGTGAACAATCTGAAAAAGAAATCAATAAAGAATTCCGTTTACAATAGCCATACATAAAATTAAATACCTAGAAATTAACTTAACCAAGTAAGTTAAAGATCTCCACAATGAAATCTATAAAACAATGATGCAAGAAATTGAAGAGGAAACAAAGAAATGTAAAGATATTCCATATTCATGGATTGGAATAATCAATATTGTTAAAATGTCCATACTACTCAAGACAATCTGCAGATTTAACACAATCCCTATTCAAAATACCAATGACATTCTTCACAGAAATAGAAGAAATAATACTAAAATTTATAAGGAACTACAGAAGACCTAGAATTGCCAAAGCTATCCTAAGCAAAAATAACAAAACTGGAGGAATCACATTAACCTGACTTCAAATTACACTACAGAGCTATAGTAACCAAATAGCACAGCACTGGCATAAAAACAGACACATAGAGCAGTAGAAAAGAATAGAAAATATAGAAATAAACCCATATATTTGTAGTGAACTCATTTTGACAAAGGTGCCAAGAGCACATATTGGGGAAAGGACAGTCTCTTCAATAAACGGTGCTGGGAAAACTGGATATCTGTATGCAGAAGAATGAAACTAGACCTCTTTCTCTTGCCATTTACAAAAATCAAATCAAATCAAAATGGATTAAACACTTAAACCTCAGACCTCAAACTATGAACTTCCACAAGAAAACATTGGGGAAACTCTCCAGGACATTGGACTGGACAAAGATTTCTTGAGGAACACTCTACCAGCATAAGCAACCAAAGCAAAAATGGACAAATTGGAGGGCATCAAGTTAGAAGCGTTTGCACAGAAAAAGAAATAATCAACTAAGTGAAGAGACTATGGGAGAAAATATTTGCAAACGATCCATCTGACGAAGGAATAATAACCAGAATATATAAGAAGCTCAAACAACTCTATAGGAACAAAATTTAATAATCCAAGTAAAAAATGGGCAAAAAGATCTGAATAGACTTTTCTCAAAGGAAGACATACAAATGGCAAACAGGTAAATGAAAAGGCACTCAACATTACTGATCTTCAGAGAAATGCAAATCAAAACTATAATGAGCTATCATTTCACCCCAGTTAAAACCACTTTTATCCAAAAGACAGACAATAATAAATGCTGACAAGGATGTGGAGAAAAGGGTATTCTCATACAGTTGGTAGAAATATAAATTAATATAACTACTATGGAGGATAGTTTGAAGATTCCTCAAGAAACCAAAAGTAAGCTACCATATGATCCACCAGTCCCACTGCTGGATATATACAGCCCCCCAAAATGAAATCACTATATTGAAGAGATATATACACTCCCACATTTATTGCAGCACTAATCACAACAGCCAAGCTTTGGAAGCAACCTAAGTGTCCATCAACAGGCAAATGGATAAAGAAAATGTGTTAAATACATATATACAATGGAATATTATTCAGCCATAAAAAAGAATGAGATCCTGTCATTTGCAACAACATAGATGGAGCTGGAGGTCATTATGTTAAGTGAAATAAGTTAGGCACAGAAACACAAACTGCCATGTTCTCACTTATTTGTGGGAGCTAAAATTTAAAACAATTGAACTGATATAGATAGAGAATAAAATGATGGTTTCCAGAGACAGAGAGGGCAGTCAGGCAGTGGTAGTGGGTAAGCAGAGATAGCTAACGGATACAGAAAAAGAAAGAATAAGACCTAGTATTTGCTAGCACAGCAGTGTGATTATAGTAAAAAACAATTTAATTTTATATTTTAAAATAACCGAAAGAGTATAATTGAATCGTTTGTAACACAAGGAGAAAAGCTTGAGGTGATAGACACCCCCATTTAACCAGATGTGATTATTGTGTATTGCATGCCTGTATCAAGATATCTCATGTAACCCATAACTATATATACCTACTATGTGCCCACAAATTTAAAAATAAAAAATTTTTTTAAAGGATTGCTACTTTGACTAGCCACATGCCAGAAACAAATATAAATCTTATCTGGAAGATGATAACATTTTTCTATGTCTAAATTATGTCAGTAACTTTTTATATACAATGTTTAATACTCAATTAAAACATAAGCATAGAAAGAGACAAAAATAACATGAAGAAAACTTGAATGAAACACAATGTACGCTTGCTACAGTTACACAGAGGCCTAGATAATGAAATTACCAAATACAGACTTTAAAATAGATATGCTTAATATAGTCAAAAAGAAGAAAGACAAAATTGGGAATTTTCACAGAAACTAGGCTATTTAAAACACAAAAATAATTTCTATAAATGAAAAATAAAATAGCTGAAATTAAGAACTAAATGGTTAGGCCTAACAGCAGCTTAGACTCAGCTGAAGATAACACTAATAAACTAGAAGAAAATTCAGAAGAAAATGTCTAGAATGAAGTTATAAAGTCAAAAGAAAGAAAAAATAGAACAGGGTAAGAGACAAGGGGGCACAGAAAGAAAGTCTAATATACATGGAACTGGAATATTTGAAGAAGCAAGAGAAGGGTCAGAAGCATTATTTGAATAAATATTTGCTAAGAATTTTCCATTACAGATGAGATAAATGAAACCAGCACTATTCAAGGACCCCTACAAATGCCAAGTAAAATAAATGAAATTTTAAATTAAACATCATAATAAAACTGCTGAAAAGAGGAGAAAACAGATTACTATGTGGGGTAATAAAACAGATTACTATCAAAGGAGCAATAAGACCGGGTGCTGGGGTTCATGCCTGTAATCCCAGCACTGTGGAAGGCCAAGGCGGGTGGATAGCTTGAGTTCAGGAGTTCAATACCAGACTGGGCAACATGTGAAACTCTGTCTCTACCAAAAACAAACAAACAAACAAACAAAATATTAGCAGGGCGTGCTGGCACATGCCTGTGGTCCCAGCTACTGGGGAGGCTGAGGCACAAGAATCACTTGAGCCTGGGAGGCAGAGGTTGCAGAGAGCTGAGACTGCACCACTGAACTCCAGCTTGGGTGACACAGTGAGACCCTGTCTCACAAAAAAAAAGGAAAAAGAAAAAAAAAGAGGCAATAAAAGAACAGCAATTGACTACTCAACAGAAACTATGAAAGTCAAAAAACAAAGGTTATGAGGCTAGATTAAAAAAAAAAATTCCATGCTATGCCGTTTACAAGAGACATATCTGAATGACAAAAATATCAAAAGTTTAAATTTAAAAGCCTGGAAAAAGAGAACTTTACTAGAGATTGACAAACTGCTTGTCAAAGTGGTTGTATAAATTTTACTCCCTTGTATAGGAGTTCTTGTTACTCTACATTCTGTTCAACATTTGCACTGTCAGTTTTTTTTTAACTTCCAGTTTGATGAATGTATAGTAATATCTTATTGTGGTTTAGATTTGCATTTCTCTGATTACTAATGTAGTTGAACACATGCTCATGTTTTTTTGACCATTTGGATTTCCTCTTTTGCCTGTTTAAATTTTCTGCCATTTGATATATTTGCCTTTGTTCATCAAAGTGTAGTTTATTAAACATTCTAAATACTGGTCTTTTGTACCTTGATGGCTTGTATTTACATTTTTTAAAATGTATTTTTTTCACTGTCCTATCTTCTATGAGAGAATCACATACTGGTCACTGACTCAAAGTCCAAACAACAGCTATGAGAGAGCACCAAACATCCCGGGCTTGTCTCCAAGTTTGTGTTGTAATTGAAACTTAATTAGACCATACCATATTCTGTCAGCTCTGCATGATGGGGTGTGTGATATATACATATGCACATAAATATATGACCAGTTAATTCCACGAACTTGGTGGTTCTGGCAGAAACAATATGGGGATGGAAGACTAATCACACACACACACACACACACACACACACACACACACACACACACACACAGGAATAGATATATTCTAATCTAGTAGAACAAATAATTTATCCTTCCAGAATGAAAACCATCCAACATAATTCACCTCAACCTGTTTCCAGATGGCAGCTTGGTTCTACTAGGGAATGGTGGACTTTTGGAATTGGTCTCTGATGCTGGCAAACTGGGTATTCTGCAGTGACAGCAGGTAGATCATCCTTGGTAAGAGGAATCCACCTTATCAAATCCACAAATGGTCTCCATTCCTGTCTCCATGGTTACCTTATATATACGTTTATGGTGCTTATATATGATTATATATTATATATATTAGATACTAGTCTGTCTGTATGTATAACTTATATAAGTATATGGTATCTAAATACTTTTTATATAAGTACATGCCAGGGAGGCTGCCATTCCCAAAATAAATAATCTTGTCCACCTGATGATTGAGAGCCACCTTTATATATCTTTTACAGGATAAACAAATGGGACACAGATATCTGCGTATTTTGTCCATTTCAAGAGGTACACCCACATACTTGTAACTCTCTGTTGCCAATCTTTTAATATTTCTTTCTGGAGATTTTTTTTTGAGACAGGTTCCTGCTCTGTCACCCAGGCTAGAGTGCAGTGGCATGATCTTGGTTGACTGCAACCTCTGCCTCCTGGGTTGTAGCGATTCTCCTGCCTCAGCCTCCCAAGTAGCTGGGACTACAGGCACATACCACCATGCTCAGCTAATTTTTGTATTTTTAGTAGAGAAGGAGTTTTTCCATGTTGGCCAGGCTGGTCTCAAACAATCTTTAATATTTCTTGTCAACTATCTGAACATATGGTCTAATCATTAGCCACTGCCATGTTAGTATGGATCTGTACCTCAGGTTATTTTTTATCCATATGAGGCAGAAAACCAGATGTACATCTTGACGTTCTGCCCATTGGGAGGATTTACTTTTACGGTTTTTCAGGAACACTCTTGATGGTATAGTACAACATTGGCCAACTTCTAGCTGAGGACAGCATATCATAAAGGACAATCTGTAAATGAGCCCATTATTTTTCTTTCTCTGTCAACTTATCATAAAGAATTTTCTATGAGGCCAAAAGTGTAAATTAAAGGTGAGACAGCCGTGCAGCAAGAACTGGTGTCAAGAGAACCCGAGCCACCTTCTCATGCAACTTACTCACGCCTTCATGACTGATTCGAACCTGACCTCTGTATGTACCATTTCCATTTGGTGATGGATTGATTGTTCATATTCCAAATTTTGGGTCTTGATGAATCAGTTAATACCCACTTCATGTTAGACAGCTCTGTTGCAAACCAGGTGCTATTTCTCAAAAGAATTATCTACAGAAGAGGGAGTGCCTTTGCTCCAAAATTCCAGGGATCTTCCTATTGATAAATGCCACTCAGTAAATGGGTCAGAGTAGCATAGTCAAATGGGATCTCTAACACTGAAAAATCCAAAGTCCACCAAGTGCTATGTCACTTTCTAATTGGTATATTCCAAAGGTGCAATAACTCATCTTTCACTCTGAAGGGAATAACCTCAAATTGTCTACAGTATTGTAATTTAGAAACTTCACTTCTGTGGTGGGATTTTGGCATGTATGGTCTTAGTAGATCAGTGAAGGAATTTGCCATTTACTGTTCACCAGGCCAATTTAGCAGAATGTCATCAATGTAGTGAACCAAAGTAACGTTCTGTGGGATAACAAAATGATTCAGATCTGGGAAGACTAGATTTTGGGAACACTGACATAGTCTGAAGGCAAAATTGTGAAGATGTACTGCTGGTCCTACCATGTAAAAGCAAAGTGCTTCTTTTCGTCCTTGCAAATTGATATAGAAAAAACTAATTGAAGTCAAAAAAACTCTGATTTCCACTTTGCCCATACTAATTATAATGACTGTTCCCACCTTCTCTTTGGAGGTTAAGTTTTGTCCCTCTGAAATCTTATTATTCTCAGTGAAACTAAAGAGCCCATTTCAGGGCTGGCATCTCTCATCATCCTCCCTGGGTTCTGAAGAGCACAGCCACCACGGAGTTTTTCAAAGATGAAATGCTCCTCTCATTGAAGCTTTTTTTTTTTTTTGAGACAGAGTCTCGCTCTATAGCCCAGGCTGGAGTGCAGTGGCGTGATCTCAGCTCACTGCAACCTCCGCCTCCCGGGTCCCAGTTTAAGCAATTCTCTTGCCTCAGTCTCCCGAGTAGCTGGGATTACAGGCATGCGCCACCATGCCAAGCTAATTTTTGTATTTTTAGTAGAGACAAGGTTTCACCATGTTGGCCAGGCTGGTCTTGAATTCCTGACCTCATGATCTGCCTGCCTTGGTCTCCCAAAGTGCTGGGATTACAGGAGTGAGCCATTGCACCCGCCCACTAAGGCATTTTTTAGTGCATTAGTAAATGGAGTGTCCTCTGGGGTATATGATTGAGAGCTACCTTGGAGTTGGGGTGGCTGTGGGGATGTGATAGCCATGATAAAACATTCCAACATTTTAATATCTTTAAGTCTTTGTACTGCTTCCTCTTCAACACACCAGGAAGTTCTGACTTCTCAATCTCATTTAACGAGACAAGTTTAGGTCTCAGTTTCAGTCAAGCAAGCAAGCAAATTGTTAGAGTCAGTCTTAGCCATCATGCTACATCATTAAACCCACCATCTTTATTGATAAATTCAGTCTGATCCAGAATTATATTACATCTTCCTGGCTCTAATAACTTTAGACTTATTTCTTACACATATTCCCCAGGATATATAAGCTATCTCTTCCTGAATATTTAAAAATCAAGGATCATATGAAGAAAGTTGGTGATGGTTAACTTTACAACTGGACTCTGGTTTATCATGCTTTTTTTTTTTTTGAGACAGGGTCTGGCTCTGTGGCCAAAGATGGAGTGCAGTGGCATGATCTTGGCTCACTGCAACCTCTGCCTCCTGGGCTCAAGTGATCTCCTGCCTCAGACTCCTGAGTAGCTGGGACTACAGGTGTGTGCCACCACACTCGGCTAATTTTTGTCTATTTTGTAGAGACAGAGTTTTGCCATACTGCCCAAGCTGGTCTTGAACTCCTGCACTAAAATGATCCTCCCACCATGACCTCCCAAAGTGCTGGGATTACAGGCATAAGGCACCATGCCTGGCCTAGAGTAGAGTTCTTAATGTTTTTGGAAATACTATTCAAAGGAACTCAGGGCAAAAAACAAAAGCAAAGTAAAAAAATAAATGACAAACTGAGAGACTAAATACCACAGATAAGGGAAATCTCCCTAATATACAAGAACTAAAGATCAAGGGAGGAAAAAAGACCAAAAACCCTGAGAGAAAAATAGACAAAAGACATGTAAAGATTGTTCACAAAAATATAGACACAAGGAAAAGAAACTGTCAACAGAGTAAACAGACAACCTACAGAATGGGAGAAAATACTGGCAAACTATGCATCTGAAAAGGTCTACTATCCAGCATCAAGAAGGAACTTGAAGTTATAAGAAAAAAGAACGCCAGTAAAAAGTGGGCAGAGGACATGAGCAGACACTTTTCTAAAGAAGACATACATGTGGCCAACAATCATATGAAAAAAAACTCAACATCACTAATCATTAGAGAAATGCAAATCAAAACCACAGTGAAATACATCTCATACTAGTTAGAATGGCTACTACTAAAAAGTAAAAAAATAACAGACCCTGGAGAAGTTGTAGAGAAAAAGAAATACTTAAACACTGTTGGTGGGAATATAAATTAGTTCGACCATTGTGGAAGACAGCATGGTGATTCCTCAAAGACTTAAAAACAGAAATACCATTTGACCCAGCAAATATACCCAGTATATACCCAAAGGAATATAAATTGTTCTACCATAAAGACACATGCACGCATATGTTGACTGCAGCACTATTCACAATAGCAAAGACATGGAATCAACCTAACTGCCCATCAGTGGTAGATTGGATAAAGAAAATGTGGTGCATATACAACATGGAATACTATGCAGCCATAAAAAAGAATGGGATCATATCCTTTGCAGGAACATGGATGGAGCTGGGGGCTACTATCCTTAGCAAACTCACACAGGAACAGAAAACCAAATACCATATGTTCTCACTTATAAGTGGGAGCTAAATGATGAGAACACACAGACACATAGAGGGGAAAAACATACATTGGGACTTATCAGAGGGTGGTGGGAGGAGGGAGAGGAACAGGATAAATAACTAATGGGTACTATTAATACCTGAGTGATGACACAATCTGTACAGCAATCCCCCATGACACAAATGTACCTATATAACAAAGCTGCACATGTACCCCTGAACTTAAAAGTTAAATTTTATACAGAAGATAGAAAGACAGACAGACAGACACACAGGCACACACTCAGCAAGGTGTGGTGGTTCACAGCTGTAATCCTAGCACTCTGGGAGGCGGAGGTAGGAGGATCTTGAGGCCAGGAGTTCAAGACCAGCCTGGTCAACAGAGGGAGACCCTCCCATCTCTATTTAAAAAATAAAAAAGATTAAAAAGAAAAAGACACTCAACTTCACTAATTAGAAAGTGCAAATTAAAATTACATTGAGGGGCCAGACACAGTGGCTGACACTTGTAATCCCAGAACTTTGAGAGTCCAAAGTGGGAGGATTGCTTGAGGCAAGGAGTTTGAGACCAGCCTGGGCAACACAGTAGACTGTTTCTACCAAAAAAAAAAAAAAAATTGTTGGGCATGGTCGCATGCACCTGTAGTCCCAGCTACTCAGGAAGCTGAGGTAAGAGGATAATTTGAGCCCAGGAGTTTGAGGCTGCAGTGAGCTATGATCACACCACCGCACTCCATCCTGGGTGACAGAGCGAGACCCCGTCTCCAAAAACAAACAAACAAAAAACCCCACTAGTGGGCCAGGCATGGTGGCTCATGCCTGTAATCCAAGCGCTTTGGGAGGCTGAGGCAGGTGGATCACTTGAGGTCATTAGTTTGAGACCAGCTCAGCCAACATGGTAAAACCCTGTCTCTACTAAAAATACAAAAAAAAAAAAGTAGCCAGGTGTGGTGGCACATGCTTGAAATCCCAGCTACTTGGGAGGCTGAGGTACCAGAATTGCTTGAGCCCGGGAGGTGGAGGTTGCAGTGAGCTGAGATCATGGCACTGCCTGGGTGACACAGCAAGAGTCTGTCTCAAAAACAAAACCAAAAAACTACATTGAGATACCATTTCTTACCTATTAGCTTAGCAAAAAATTCAGAAGCTGGACAATCCAATCTGTTGGCAAGGCTGAGAGGAAACAGGCATGGTCATACAACCCCTCGAGAGGTGAATTTGACAATACCCTATAAAATGACATATGCGTTTACCCTTTGACTCAACAACTCTACTTGTAGAAAATTATCCTGCAAGATGCATTTCCAGCAATGTGAAAAGACAGAAGGCCAAGATTATTCCTCATGGCATTATTTAAGATAACAAAATACATATTATACCTTTGTATTGACAGATAGATGCCAATATAAATCAATAATGGGAAAACCCTAAAATTGAATTCAAATAGAAACAAACTTAGATATTAAATTAAATATGTAATCATACAGAAAATAACAATTCAAGTAACTTTTAAACGTAGTATTCTGATTATAAAAGTTTTTGTCTAAGGAAAAAAAACACTGGAAAGGAATCTCAAATTTCACTTAGGCTTGTGTTTGTCATGGTTGTAATGTAATAATTTCAAAACTATTTTGTATGTATAAGGGAAGCACAAACATGGAAGGAGAAAGATGAGGAACCACCCCAGATGTTGGATTTTAATTGGTGGATTCATGATCTTAAAAAGGCCCAGGTTAGGAGCAACCAGGTTAGGGTTTCTAAATATCACTCATTACCAAAAGAAATGAGATCAGTGAGGGGGTCTTTGCAGTGGCTGAGAAATGAGGTGCTGAGGCCTGCTCAGGGGCTGGGAAACAAGGCTGAAATTCAAAAAAGCACTTTGCGGGATGAATAGATAGAATTGCTTCCCTCAGTAAAGGAGAAGAGAGAATCAGTAAGTGAGTTTCTATGATGAAGAGTGGAAGGGGCCATGATGGCATTGAACTAAATATGAAAGGCAGAGAACTGGTTTTTAACATGTTTTGAATCAATTTTGAATATGTTGACTTTGAGCCAATAGCTTTCAGATGCTTACAAACCTCCAGAAGTTAAGGGGGTGTCCCAATTTGGGGGTAGTGTTTCTGGTCCTTCTCCTCAACCAGTTTGATCTCTTACTTACTTCAGGGACAGAGAGGGCGCCAGGGGCTTCCTGAGGCTTCTGCCAACGATTGCCTGTCATAGGGATTACACGATGCTCCACAGACAACGCCCAGAATCTTCTCCCTGCAGGATCCCAGTGGGCTACTCTTGAGTGAGCGAACATCAATTCCCAATTGGGGCAGAAAAGCATTTTCAAGACCTAACTCAGGGACGGGCCCCCACGTGTGGAATTTCTCTTTCATCCCTGCAGCGAAGGCTGACTCGGGGCCTCTGTGGTTTGTGGCTGTCTGGCTTCATCAGGCTCCGGCTGCCCCCCTGCCTGCCCAGCGCTCCTGCCTGGCTACAGCAAGCATGTCCTGAGCATCCATTCTGAGCAGGCTTCCCGGGCAGCCTTCCTCCCCTGCACTCTTGGCATTCATGTGGCATGGCTATAAATTATGTCCAGCATGTTCATTTTCAGTTTAAATGTGTTCTCATCCCAAAGGAGCAACTAATGGCATCAAGTTACTGACGTGAAAAAAGCCTGCCGCTACAATGACTATGGATTAATGAAATAGCAGTCATGGAGGCTGGGGTGGCAATAAATCGCCAGCCACTGGTGACACGAATTTTAAATTTTGTTCTCCATCCCTTGCCCCCTTCTCCAAAATTATTTTGCTGTAAAGTTGTTTGGTAAATGTTTACCTTTGCTTAGATGTTTGCTTTCTATTAAAAGTTGATGCAGGCAGGGCCCCTAGCTCTTAGAAAACTGGAAGCGGGATGAGAGGGATTTAAAAGCCTATCATGCTTTCTCTAGGAGGCGTGAAGGCAAATCTCTTAATCCAGGATCATCACTGACTGATAAATTTCATTCAGAAAATTTGGCAAACACAAGGTTCTTTCAGTGAACGCTGCTCATCTGGCATGTAAGTTACTATTCCTACCTTCTGTTATGACTTTTTTCCTAATGAATTTAAAATGAGGAACCCGTACAATTCCCACCAGTGTTTTTGAAAGGTAGCAAGTCTATTTCTCATCTGATGAAGGGCCCCAGGGTATCCACTGATGGGCCACAGGGAGTCTCAGAATCTCTGATCCTAAAAGCAAACTGTTCATACGTACAGTTGGCCCTCTGTATCTGCAGGTCCCGCCATCTGTGGATTCAACTAATATTGGGTTGAAAATATTCAGAAAAACACTGCATTTGTATGGAACAGGTACAAACTTTTTCCTTGTCATTATTCCTTAAATGCAGTATAGCAACTATTTCCATGGCATTTACATTTTAGTAAGTATTACAAGCAATCTACAGATGATTTAAGGTACGCGAGGATGCGCATGGGTTATAAGCAAATACCACGCCATTTTATGTCGGGAACTTGAGCACCTGTGGATTTTGGTACCCAGGATGTCCTGGAGCCAATCCCTCATGGATACCAAGGGAAAACTGTATGGTTTTCTAGAAAGAAGGTCTTTAGATTCATCAAATTCACTAAATGTTCTGTAACATCAAAAACAAACAAACAAACAAACAAACAAACAAAAAAACAAAAACAAAAAACGTAAGGCTAACTATGGTGGACTGCAGTGATGGCTCCAGTTTCTTCCTCCCCAGGTGTCCACGCCCTTGCAATGGTGCTCTGCAGTCCCTCCTAATGAGGAGCCTGTACCCATCCCTTGATTCTGGGGTGGCCTTGAGATTGGCTGTGGTCCATGGGATACTAATATGATACAAGCAGAGTTGAAAAAGTATTTGTACACTGGGGCTTGCCTCCTTACAGTGCCCAGAACTCCACAGCCACGTGAACAAGGCTGGGCGAACTGATGAGCTACATGGCCCAGTCACCTCCACTTCCCAGCAGACCTACCAACCAGCAACCACATAGAGTGAGTGAGCCCACTGAGACCAGCATGCCTAGGCCAAACCAGAAGGACTGTCCAGCTCAAACTGCTGACTTACAATAACCTTAAAAAAAAGGTTATTTTAAGCAACTAAGTTCTGGGGTAGTTTGTTATGCGGTAAAGCTAACTGACTTGCTAGGTTGGGGAAGTTCTCCTGGATAATATCCTGAAGAGAGATTTCCAGCTTGGTTCCATTCTCCCTGTCACTTTCAGGTACACCAGTCAAACGTAGATGTGGTCTTTTCACATAGTCCCAAATTTCTTGGAGGCTTTGTTCATTTCTTTTCATTCTTTTTTCTCTAATTTTGTCTTCTTGCTTTATTTCATTAAGTCGATCTTCAATCTCTGATATCCTTTCTTCCACTTGATTGATTTGGCTACTGATACTTGTATATGCTCCACAAAGTTCTCGTGCTGTGTTTTTCAGCTCTATCAGGTCATTTATGTTCTTCTCTAAACTTGTTATTCTAGTTAGCAATTCATTGAACCTTTTTTCAAGGTTCTTAGCTTCCTTGCATTGGGTTAGAACATGCTCCTTTAGCTTGGAGGAGTTTGTTATTACCCACCTTCTGAAGCCTACTTCTGTCAATTTGTCAAACTCATTCTCCATCCAGTTTTGTTCCCTTGCTGGCGAGGAGTTGTGATCCTTTGGAGGAGAAGAGGCATTCTGGGTTTTGGAATTTTCAGCCTTTTTTTTTTGCTGGTTTCTCCCCATCTTCATGGATTTATCTACCTTTGGTCTCTAATGTTGGTGACCTTCAGATGGGGTCTCTGAGTGGACGTCCTTTTTGTTGATGTTGATGCTATTCCTTTCTGTTTGTTAGTTTTCCTTCTAACAGTCAGGCCCCTCTGCTGCAAGTCTGCTGGAGTTTGCTGAGGTCCTCTCCAGACCCGGTTTGCCTGGGTATCACCAGCGGAGGCTGCAGAACAGCAAAGATTGCTGCCTGTTCCTTCTTCTGGAAGGTTTGTCCCAGAAGGGCACCCACCAGATGCCAGCCAGAGCTCTCCGGTATGAGGTGTCTGTTGGCCCCTACTGGGAGGTGTCTCCTAGTCAGGATACACAGGGGTCAGGGACCCACTTGAGGAGGTAGTCTAACCCTTATCAGAGCTCGAATAGGCAAAAACTGGAAGCATTCCCTTTGAAAACCGGCACAAGACAAGGATGCCCTCTCTCGCCACTCCTATTCAACATAGTATTGGAAGTTCTGGCCAGGACAATCAGGCAAGAGAAAGAAATAAAGCGTATTCAAATAGGAAGAGAGGAAGTCAAATTGTCTGTGCTTGCAGATGACATGATTCTATATTTAGAAAACCCCACCATCTCAGCACCAAAATCTCCTTAAGCTGATAAGCAACTTCAGCAAAGTCTCAGGATACAAAATCAATGAGCAAAAATCACAAGCATTCCTATACACAAACAGAGAGCCGAATCATGAGTGAACTCCCATTCACAATTGCTACAAAGACAACAAAATACCTAGAAATACAACTTCCAAGGGATGTGAAGGACCTCTTCAAGGAGAACTACAAACCACTGCTCAAGAAAATTAGAAGATACAAACAAATGGAAAAACATTCCATGCTCATGAATAGGAAGAATCAATATCATGAAAATGGCCATACTACCCAAAGTAATTTATAGATTCAGTACTATCCCCATCAAGCTACCATTGACTTTCTTCACCGAATTGGAAAAAAACTACTTTAAATTTCATATGGAATCAAAAAAGAGCCTGCATAGCCAAGACAATCTAAGGCAGGAAGAACAAAGCTGGAGGCATCATGCTACCTGACTTGAAACTATACTACAAGGCTACAGTAACCGAAACAGCATGGTACTCGTACCAAAACAGATACACAGACCAATGGAACAGAACAGAGGCCTCAGAAATAACACCACACATCTATAACCATCTGATCTTTGACAAACTGGACAAAAACAAGCAATGGGGAAAGGATTCTCTATTTAATAAATGGTGTTGGGAAAACTGGCTAGCCATATGCAGAAAACTGAAACTGGACCCCTCCCTTAAACCTTATACAAAAATTAACTCAAGTTGGATTAAAGACTTAAACATAAGACCTAAAACCATAAAAACCCTAAAAGAAAATGTAGGCAATACCATTCAGGACATAGGCATGGGAAAAGACTTCATGGCTAAAACACCAAAAGCAATGGCAACAAAAGCCAAAATTGACAAATAGGATCTAATTAAACTAAAGAGCTTCTGCACAGCAAAAGAAACTATCATCAGAGTGAACAGGCAGCCTACAGAATGAGAGAAAAATTTTGCAACCCATCCATCTGACATAGGGCTAATATCCAGAATCTATAAAGAACTTAAATTTACAAGAAAAAAACAACCCTATCAAAAAGTGGGTGAAGTTTATGAACAGACACTTCTTAAAAAATGACATTTACGCGGCCAACAAACATATGAAAAAATGTTCATTCTCACTGGTCATTAGAGAAATGGAAATCAAAACCACAATGAGATACCATCTCACACTAGTTAAAATGGCAATCATTAAAAAGTCAGGAAACAACAGATGTTGGAGAGGATGTGGAGAAATAGGAACACTTTTACACTGTTGGTGGGAGTGTAAATTAGTTCAACCATTGTGGAAGCCAGTGTGGTGATTCCTCAAGGATCTAGAACCAGAAATACCATTTGACCCAGTGATCCCATTACTGGGTATATACCCAAAGGATTATAAATCATGCTAATATAAAGACACATGTACATGTATGTTTAATGTGGCACTGTTCACAATAGCAAAGACTTGGAACCAACCCAAATGCCCAGAAATAATAGACTGGATTAAGAAAATGTGGCACATACACACCATGGAATACTATGCAGCCATAAAAAAGAATGAGTTCATGTCCTTTGCAGGGACACGGATAAAGCTGGAAACCATCATTCTCAGCAAACTAACACAGGAACAGAAAACCCAACACCGCCTGTTCTCATTCATAAGTGGGAGTTGAACAATGAGAACACACGGACACAGGGAGGGGAACATCACACAGCGGGGTCTGTCGGGGCAGTGGGGGACTAGGGGAAGGATAGCATTAGGAGAAATACCTAATGTAGATGATGGGTTGATGGGTGCAAACCACCATGGCACGTGTATACCTATGTAACAAACCTGCACATTCTGCACATGTACCCCAGAACTTAAAGTATAATAATAATAATAAACCTCAAATGAGAGGGAAAAAAAAGCTAACTGATACAAGTACCAGACCAGACAGTGTCCGTTTGGAAGATGGGGATGTGTCTTATTCAGTCTTTGTATCTCCTTTCCCTTTAAACCCTGTAACCATTCAATATGTATTTGTTGAACTGGGTAGAAATGGCCCCTTGAAAAGGCTGCAATTAAACCCCTTTTTCTCAAGGCTACTCAAGTCAATCAGGAGGGAAACAGCACACCAAGGATTCCATTTCCTCATTTTTATAAAATGGGCTTCAAAATACCTACCTTGTCATGCTGTTGTGGTTGTTAAAGATCCTGTGTGCTTTAGAGATGTCCTTGATACATAATAGACGGTGGCTCAAGCAGAAACAAGCTTATGGAAAGGCTTTAGAACTCATCAGGATGCAGGATATTGTATATTTTTTTTCTATCAAAGTGGTCACCATGTGTTCAGCCTAAGAGGACTCCAGTTTCAAGTCATCAGCTTTCTCTGTTGTAGAAGTAAGGTTGGTTCCTTCACGCTCCATCAGACATCCATGTGCCATTCTAACAGTGCCTCGTCAGAGGACTTGCGGCGCCCTCTGTGAAAGACGGGGAGGGCTCCTGAGCGGGACTCAGGAATGTGGGTTGCTACTCTGGATTCTGCCACCGCCCATTTCCTTGCTTGTGAAATAAAGTGTGGATGACTGCACGCTCTCTAAGAATCCTTTCAACTCTAGGAATCCACGGGCTTCAGTTACCACCAGTGTCATCTAAGCGTGAGGGACTGCACTGCTCACAGGATCCCTGAGCCATAAGACAATTGACATTTTTAGAAGTGGAAAAGAAAAGGTTTTCTGTATTTGTCTAAAGTAGAAAGGCAGAAGAACAGGCCAAAGAATTAGGAAATAATAAAGAGGAAAAAGCAAGCAAGCAAGTCTGATTTGAGCTGGGATGCGAGAACCTTGCTTGCTGCAGGATAATGGAGCTTTACACCGTGCATACCACACTCACACACTCACATGCTGAACCACACATTTGGCTAATTACAGAAAAAATTTCAAGGAAAAAAAAAAGACATACACAAGGAGTTATAAAATGCTGATGAGAAAGGTTTACACAAAGAGCTGTGAGACATTCGAAAAACTGGTTTTTGGCATTAAGACTTCCTATCCTTTTCTAGTAATATCTAAAATGGCTTCTTCCTAGCATTTAGGATAAAACTTCTTGTGTTGGAGAAGTATTTGGAAGTAAATAACAAACACAAACATCATTTATCACAAAGAGCAAAAGATGACATCTCAAAATTCTGCTTCTTGCCAAAATGGACATTAAGTTTTTGCTTGGAAGCAAATGTGAAAATAGTGACTTTTATCTAATTATCCCTACATATATCCAAAGAGAAAGTTATAACTTATTTGTCATGCTTTTAATATGATTTTCTGTCTTGAATGTTGGTATTTTAAACATTAAAATCGCCAATGAGTAAGCAAATAAGACAATTACCAGATGGCATCCTCAACCAAATGTTTTGAATTTATTATAATCGTGCTTCTCTACAACTAATGATTCTTGTGGTTTGCAAACCATGTCTGCCTTTATTTACCTACACAAACACGGAACAGAATTTCCAATAGGAGAGGTTCACACAGCTAACAAAGCATAGAGTGTGTGACCTCAATAAGGCATTCAACAAAGACACACGCCGTATTTCCCTCTGACTGCGTTCCCTTAGGATGCTCTGATGTTGGCGTCGCATTCTTCTAAAAGTAGAATCAAATCTTCAATCAGGCTGTGTTCTCTGCCATGTGTCACTCTCATAATATCAAAAGCCTAAAGAGAAAGGACGGAAGAGAGATTAGACCCCAAAATAGGTGAGCTCAGGCCATTCCCCACCTTTACCCCATGATGCCAGGGGCCTGGTGAACCCCACAGGTTTACAGGGTGAACAGTCTTTAACAGGCTTACAGCACTGTGGTTCTCCCAGCTGGAAAGTCACATGAAAAGGGTGATTTCTGAATGTGGTATTTGGAAAGCAGACTCACTATTCGAGTCATGCTGGGGCCCAGTGACAATCGATGATCTTCAAAGACTGTCAGTGCACAGGTTTGGTGGGTAGTCACAGGGATAAGAAGAGTTACCAAAATGATTGAGTCATATGAAAGACCATGCTGCTACCACCTTAAAATTTTTCTTTATTGCACACTCCATTCAATTCTCATCTATATGCACCAGGATTATTATATACATGTATTCTCACATTTTTTTTCATATCATATTATAGCACTGGCATTTCAACAGTCCTCTCCTTCACTGCTCATATTTGGTCCATTATTAAATCTTGTCAACTCTTATCTTCAAAATATTTCTGAAATCTGTGTGGGCTTATGAGTACTTCAATAATAGAGTATAATAGAAGTAAAGCAACTGACTTGTGAGACTAGGTCAAAAAGGCCTCTGTGTTGTTTACTGGTCAGTATGTTTGCTCCCAGAACCAAGAGACTCCATGCTGCAAGGAAGCCCAAGCCACATAGAGGGAGGCCGTGTACAGGCACTCTGGCTGGCAGTCTTAGCCAAGCTCATCTTTCAAGTCATTCTAGACAAGGCACCAGACATGTACATAAATAAACCTTCAGACGATTCCAGCACCCAGCTGAAGACTGCCAGATCTGTCTTCCCAGATGAAACACCAGACATTGTAGAAAAGAAGAAAGCCATTCTTATGCTGTGTGCCAATTCCTGACACACAGCATTTGTGCAATAATTTTGCCGTTGTTTACTCCATTCAGTTTTGGGATGGTTATGGAACAACAAACAACCAGAGTATCCTTGAAAATATTTTTGTAATAAATAAGAGATAAGCAATATTATCCTGCCCTGCCCAAATGGGGGGGTGGGGTGGGGTGGGGTGGACTGGGGAGAAGGGAGGGACACCAGAACCACTGCATTTGATGTAAATGTGCCCAGGAGACTTGTAAAGATATGACTCTGGTGGCTGTTATGCACCCAAAGTACCTGGAAGTGGCACTGAGGCTCTCAGCCTTAGCTACACAGCAGGATCAACCAGGGAGCTTCAAAAGAGACACCGAGGGCCAGACCCTGCACATCAACAGCTGAAGCCTGCTCTCCAGGAATGAGGCCTAGGCCCCAGGAGATTCCAACATGTTCTCAAGGTTGAAAACAACTGATAGAGCAAACTCTCAACAAATAACATCAACTACTCATGATTCAGTGTTAATTTATAGCCAGAAGAATTACCATTTTAATTGTTGTATATAATGAATGCCATCATGCTTATAAACCATTATTTACTAAGCTACTCCTGGAAATTTAGATCACCTCCAATTGTTTATTAGGATATGATGCAGACCTTCCAGAATAGATTTTTTGCCTTTCTTGGATATTTAAGAGCAATTGCTAGGGGTGGAATTCTTGAGCATGAACATCTTGAAAACCACAGAGATTTCAGACCTTGGTGGTCATGTGGTGAGACGCCTGCATTTTGCAATTCTGCATGCAGGAAAACTTTCCATTCTACGTTGGAAAAACGCTGAAGCTTCGAGAAACAAAGCATTTCAGGGGGATGGGTAATTTCAACCTCTGTTTCTGGCTTCTTTTTTCACCTCTTGAATGTTCCCTTTAGGCTGGAAGGAAAACAGGCAGACAGAGGGGGTCTAGATTTGCTGCTGAGAGAGAGAGAAAGAGAGAGAAAGAGAGAGAGAGACAGAGAGACAGAGAGAAAGAGAAAGAGAGAGAGAGAGAAAGAGAGAGAGAGAAAGAGAGAGAGAAAAAGAGAGAGAGAGAGAAAGGGCCAGCGCCTCAGACCCTGGCCTCTCAGCCTGGAAGACAGCTCTGCTCTGAGTCCAGTTGTGACCCCGCACTGGCAGTCTGGCCCCTCACCCTGTGACACTCCAGCTGCAAAGCCCAGAAGGTGGCTGGAGCTGAGATGCTGGCGGTGGGAATTGACTTCCTATTCATGCGAGCAAGTCTGCTCTGTGGGTGCACAGCATCTGCCAGCAAATCCCTAGGCAGGGGGCTGTCCGGAGTGCAGGGGAGGAGTTGGGACCAGCCCCCACCTTGCAAGCAGCCCAGCTCTATGAGATTCCCCTGGGCAGAAGATTAAAAACAAATGTTTGATGGCATTCATGGAGCACATGCCTCGTGTTTTATTCTCTTTTCTCCACACTGCCCTGGATCCTCCGCTGCTCTGGACATCTTGAGGTCTGAGGCAGAGACCTGTGTGACAGCACGATTGCGGAAAGAGAAGGTTTCTCAGATCAGAGAGCCTTCATGGGAAATTTTCTTACTTGAAAGCACTCTTAGATGTTCTCTTCCCTTTTACTCAACAAAGAGCCAGAGTGCTTGTGATCTGGCAAAGGAAGATGAATGGGGCAGAATCACTGCCTGGAAAGATCTTTGCAGAGAGGGACGTAACCCTCCGTCCTGAAAAAGGCCAGACCTAACCTGCTCGGCCTCGCCTCCCTCCCTGCCCTCACAGAGGCCCTCGGCTGGGTGAGGGCCTGGCCTTGTTGCTCAGAATTTCCAGACCAGCCTCTTTTTTGCCCTCCTGGTTACATTCCCCAGGTTCCCCATCTGAAGAATGATCTGTGCTTCTCTCTGACTTGACTCAGAGGCTAAATGACAAAGCCATCTTCTTGTCACTTCAACAACATAAGTTCACTGGCATGCTTTGAACATACTACAGGCTCCAGGCTTCCTTCCTCGCTCTTTTCTTCCAGTTCCAGTGGTGAGTTTCACTTTCTCCTCTTTTGCAGCTTTAAGAGTAAGGTCTACTCCCCACTGATCCAGTATATTCCTGTTCATGGAAGGGGCAGACCTGCCCATCCCACAGTACGGTAACTACTTCCAGTTCTTCAGCCATTCTGGAATTAGAGCCACAGCCAGGAAGGGGGAGTTTCCTGGCCTTCCTCCAGCTTCACATCCACACCTCACAGCCTGCTTCCTTGAGGAAAGACCAGAAGGATCATCTAGTCCAATACCCTCATGTTATGGAAGGAAGTGCTTCCTGAGGTCACCTGGCTTGAGAGTTAGACTAAGGATGACCTCTCGGCTCTCAGGACTCAACCCAGTGTGTCCATTCCATGACTGCATTGTGCAGCCTCCCCGTATGAACAGACTGCAGTGACCAAGGAGAGGAGCAGAGGCTCTCCTGGACATGGCTGCAGAGATACCCTGAGGGGACACAGGTGCCTTCCTTGTCAAGATGCTGCTGGTCATGTTCTGTGTTCTCTTACTTGATGCTGAATGCATCACCAGTAGCAAAGGGGAACAGGGGCAACCCTCAGGAATGTGTGTGTAGAGTCTGAGATACTAAGTTTAGAGGATCTCGTCCATAGGGTGGCTAGAAACAGAGAGGAAATGGGTATGGGTAGGGGCAGAGAACTAATCTGAAGCAACTGAAAAAAAAAAAAAAGAAACTACATCATCTGTCTAGAAAGTAAAACGCCATATAGATTTGATTAATTCACAAGCAAACATACTTTTCTCTGAAAGATGGGCAGATGTAGATGAGAAAGGGAGAGAAAAACGAGAAGAAAGAAGTAGGATTCAGTAATGTGCAAAATATGTTAGTGACTGTGTGTGCGGATGTGTGCGTGGATGAATGGTGTGACACAGGTCAGCAGGAAGCTGCAATTCACACCTGGTGATGAGGACATCTGGTCCTTGTCTTGAACATCACCTGGGCCTATGGGTGAGCTGGGGCAGACAGTCCTCAACAATGTACGGAGAGGGCCCTGTGTGGCCCTGGGCACAGCCCTTCAGCACTGGGTGAGCTGGGGCAGACAGTCCTCAACGATGTACGGAGAGGGCCCTGTGTGGCCCTGGGCACAGCCCTTCAGTACAGCAGGAAGATGAGGAGGGCTTCCCCTCACATTACCATCCCCCAAAAAAGTTACAATAAATTTCTGACAAACGAGAGCAATTGTTTCAAGTAGCTCTGTGTCTCCCTTCTCCTACCACTCCCATCTGTCACCCATGCGCATGTCAGAGAGGACAATTCTGGTTTAATTTCCTGCAGTAGCATATAAAACAGATTAAGGAAATATAAAATTGGAGCAGGCTGGTGTTGGGAAAAGCTTATCTCTTTCCATTAAATTTTATTTTTTTTAATGGTAGCATTTAAAAAGAGCCTGCACATAATCTTTCACAGAGCACTCATTTGAAGCCTCCAAGGAGGGTGCCTGCTACACCCACATCCAGACTCGAAATGTCACATGAGAAAAGCAGCATAGCTTGTCTGCCACATTACAGGCATACAGTTAACTCAGTAATAGAGAAAGGGTCCCCAGAATTGATTTCAATCTCATCTGTTTTTTTAAGTAATTTTAGAATTGTGGTCATATATTAAATAAAATGAATTTAAATCAAATCATAAAGTTGGAAACAATATACCTCTCCTATTAATTTTAATATGAATATATTAAGCTTATCAAGGATCTCAAACAGTTTCTACCATGAGCTTGAGGAATCTAGTAAGTGACTTCCCAAGTATGATTTAAATATGGATATAAAATCAGAGGGAAAAGAAATGTATGCATGATAAGAACCCCTGGAATCAAATCACGACGGGAAAAAATAAAGCAGGTTTTCTTATTCTGCCCAACTCAGAATGAAAGAAAAGCAGAGGGTGGGGCACAGGGAGGAGGAAGCTGGTCTGGGGCATTCAAAGGAGGAAATGCAAGAAGCAAGAGGTACAACACATTAAGCAGCTCTGGAGGCACAAAAAGCCCTTTGCAAGGACAGCAGAGAATCCCAAAGACTTTGATGATCCACCTCAGCTCAGCAGCACCCCTGGAGACCCCACTCCACTCTACATCTTGGATAACTTCAAGTGTGTATTCCGCTGGAGGAATATGTCCTTTTGGGAGGCAGAATTTCCTTAGAGATAACATCTACCCATTCATTCACTCAATACTGTCTGAGCAGCTTTAATGAATAAAACTTGGCCCTTGCCCTGGGAGAAGCTCTGGCATAGTCAGAGGGACAGAATGTAAATACCAGATCATTGCAGTGGAACAGTGTGTGTTCAACAGAGATGCAAAGTGCTGGGGCGCCCAGAGGAAGGAGGAACCAGGTGGCCCCACGGCACCCTCAGGAGGGGTTACAGATGTGGTGAGCTCAGGTCTGTGCTTTCCAGTGGTAGTAGCCATTCCAGAAAAAGCATGGCTGTTGTATCACTGTTTAATCAATCAATCAGTACATATTAATTGAACTCTGAGAGACTCTGAAGAAGTTATGTTTCCTCAGCTAAATAATGAGACTGGACAATATAAATTCTAAGGGCAACCCAAGTCCCAATGTGTTGTACAATGTGCCATGCCAGACACAGCTACAAGGCGTGGATTTGGTTTTGTTTCCAAATATTGTTACTGATTTCTAATTTAATTCCATTGTGGTCAGATAATTTACTTTGTATTAACTTGAATCTTTTTATGTTTATTGATATCTGTTTTGTGGCATAAAATGGTCTCTTTTGGTATTATAGTTACTTAAAAATGTGCATTCTGTTATTGCTGGGTGAAGTGTTTTCTAAATGTCAGGTCCCATTGGTTGATGGTGTTATGGAATTATTTTGTATCCCTCCTCAGTTTCTGTCTAGTTGTTCTACCAACTGTTGACAGAGGAGGTCTGATGTTCCCAGCTGTGCTTGTCTATTTGCTCATTTCTCCTTTCAGTTCTATCAGTTTTTGTTTCTCATGTTTTGCAACTGTGTTGTTTGGTGCATACATATTTAGTACTACTATGTCTTTTTGGTAGACTGACCTTTTTTTCATTATACAATGTCCCTCTCTGTCTCTCATAACATTTTCTTTGCTCTGAAGTCTACTTTACTTAATATTGATATAGCTACTCCAGCTTTCTTTTGATTGTGTTTTTATAATGTATCTTTTTCCATCATTTTGCTTTCAACCTATTTGTATCATTCTATTTAAAAAGAATTCTTACAGACAACATATGCTTGAGTCATTTGTTAAAAATCTGTTCTACTAATCTCTGTCTTTTAATTGGTATATTTAGGCAATTTACATCTTTTACATAGACTACTGACATAATTTACAATGTTATTATTAATACATCAGGGCTTAAATCTGCCATTTAATTTTTTGTTTTCTGTTTGCTCTCTTTTTCTTTCTTTTTCCTGCCTTTCTGTGGGTTAAACTTTTTTTTAGAATTTCATTCTCTAGTGCTTTTGAGTGTATTACTTTATATAGTTTTGTGGTTGCTCCACGTCTTATTATTTATATATATTTTATATATATATACACACACATATATATGTATATATAACTTGTATATAATATACATGTGTATGCATATTATATATGTATATATACAGATATATATGTATATAACTTATCATACTTTACTAGTGTCATCATTTTACCCATTGAACTCAAGTGTAGAAACCTTCCCTTTACATTTTACCCTCCCCCACTCCCCCATTTGTAATACAATTGCCCTAAATATTTCTACTACATACATTTAGAATCATATCAGATAGTGTTATAATTTTTGCTTCAACTATCAAACAATCTAGAAAACTCAAGGGGAGAAGGAAAGATCATTTTACTTACCCACACTTTTGCTGACCATATTCTTTCTTCTTTCCTGATGTTCCAAGAGCTTTCTTTTATCATTTTCTTTCTGTTTAGAGAACTTCTTTAGCCATTCTTTTACAGTAAGTCTGCTAGCGATAAGTTCTTTTAGTTTTCCTTCATCTGAAAATGTCTTGATTTCTTCTTCATTCCTGAAGGATATTCTTGCTGGACAACATACATTCTAAGGGCAACCCAAGCTTTGGGTTAACAGTTCTTTTCTTTCAGTACTTGAAAAAAATATGCTACTTTCATCTGGCTTCTGTGGTTTCTGATGAGAAAATCACTGTCATTCAAATTGTTTTTCCTGTACAGGTAAGTTGTCATTTTTCTCTTGCTGCTTTTAGGACTTTTTTTTTTTTTGTCTTTAGTTTTCAGAAGTTTGAGTATGATCCACAGTCTTGGTGTGAACTGCTTTCGGTTTATACTGTTCGGGGTTTGCTTAGCTTCTTAAATCTACAGGTTTATGTCGCCTGCCAAATTTGCAAAGTTTTCCACTATTAATTCTTTTTTTAAAAACAATATGGTAAAGTACACAAAACACTAATAGTTACCATTTTAACTATTTTTAACTCTTGAGTAGCATTAAGTACATTCACATTGTTGTGCAACCATTACTACTATCCATATAGCCATAACTTTTGCATCATCTTGTACTGAAACTGTGTACCCATTAAACAATAGCTTCCCATCCCCTCCTCCCTTCACACTCTGGTAACCACTGTTCTACTTCTGTCTCTAGGTATTTCACTATTCTAGGTACCTCATATAAGTGGAATAATATGATATTTGTTCTTCTCTGTCAGGCTTATTTCACTTTGCATAATGCCTTCAAGGTTCATTTATGTGTAGCATGTGTCACAATTTTATTCCTTTTTAAGGCTGAATAATATTCCCTTGTATGTATATATCCCATTCTATGGGTTGCTTTTTATTTTGTTGATGGTATCCTTTGATGCCCAAAAGTGTTTAATTTTGGTGAAGTCCAATTTGTTTATATTTTCTTTTGTTGCCTGTAGCTTTGGTGCCATATCCAAGAAATCATCACTATGCCCAATGTCATGAGGCTTTTTCCTTAATGTGTTCTTCTAAGAGTCTAGTAGAAGCTTTTGCTCATATGTTTAGGTCTTTGATCCATTTTGAGTTACTTTATATGGTGTTAAGAAAGGGTCTAACTTTATTCTTTTGCATGTGGATATGCAGCTTCCCCAACACTATTTGTTGAAGAGACTGTCATTTTTCCATTGAGTGGTCTTGGCATCCATGTTGAAAATCATTTGATCATATATGCGAGGGTTTATTTCTGGGCTCTCTATTCTATTCCATTGGTCTATATGTCCATCTATTCCAGTATCACCCTGTTTTGACTACTGTAGCTTTCTCGTAAATTTTAAAATCAAGAACTGTGAGTTCTCCATATTTCTTCTTCTTTTTCAAGACTGCTTTTGGCTATTTGGGATTCCTTGAGGTTCCATATATATTTCAAGATGTATTTTTCTACTTCTTCCCCAAAAAAGCCATTGGGATTTTGATAGAGATTGCATTGAATCTGAAGATTATTTTGGGTAATATTGACATCTTAATAATACTAAGTCTTCGAACCTATGAACATGAGATGTCATTCTCCTTATTTATGCCTTCTTCATGGAGAATAACTTATTCAGTTATTCTCAGATAATAACTTACTTGGTTTTGTGTTATTGCAAATAGCATTATTCTCTTAATTTTGTTTTTGAATTGTTCATTTTTAGCGTTTAGAAATACAACTGATTTTTGTGTGTTGATCTGTATCCTGCTACCTTGCTTAATTCACTTATTAGTTCTAACATTTTTTGGTGTGTGTGTGTAATCTTCAGAGCTTTCTCCATATGAGATCATGTCATCTGTATATAGAGATAATTTTATTTCTTCCTTTCCAATTTGGATGCCTCCACCATTATTTCTTCAAGCACTTTTTCCACCTCACCCTCTTTTTCTTTTCTTTCTGGGACTCCAATGTTAGATCTTTTGTTACTGATTCATAGGTCCCCTGAGGCACTGTTCAATTTTACTTTTTCTTCAGTATTTTTTTCTGTTTTTCAGCTTGGGCAGTTTCAATTGTCTTATCTTCACATTCACCAATTCATTCCTCTGTTTCCTCCATTCTGTTGTGGAGCTCCCTTCTGTTTATTTTGATTATTATATTTATCAGTTGTTAAATTTCTATTTGTGTCTTCTTTACGGCTTCTACTTCTTAACTGAGATTTTCTATTTTTTCCATTTATTTTGAGGGTGTTTGTAATTCCTTGATGAAGCATTTTTATCATGGCTGCTTTAAAATCTGTCAGACTATTCTAACATCTCTGTTATCTTGGAATTGGCATCTACTGATTGCTTTTATTTTCATTAAGATTGAGATATTCCTGGTTCTTGGCATAGTGAGTGATTTTTAACTGAAGCACAAACATTTTGAGTATTCTGTTATGAGACTCTGAATTTTACCTCAACCTGCTTTAGCCGGCTTTCTCTGACATCACTCCAGCAAGAGAATGAAGTGATGACACCCTGTTACTGCCAGGCGGGAGTACAAGTTCAGGTTCCCTATCTGGCTCCTTGTTACTACTGAACTCATACTTCCTGGAAGGTAAATTTCTGCTTATTTCCCATAATACGACTTAATCACTGTGTTTGCATTTTATCCATTATTTTCTTATCTTTTCTCTTTTTTGGTTCAAAAACACACTCTTGGAACTATTATTCTCTATTTGGAGGTCAGTAGGAATCACTCATAAATATTAGAGCCAGGGGCTTCCAAACAACTCTTTGAAGGTATTAGTGACAATTACGGGACATCCTTCCGCATGCCCTCTTACTCCCCCTCTTTCCCTCCCACCTCCCCACACGGTAACGTATGATGTTAAGTGTTTAGAGGAGGGCTTTTTAACCTAGGCACCATGGATACTAAGTCCATGGAAGGGCTTCAGGGAGCCTCTGAAGCTGCCATCCCCACCAAATATACAAAAGGTTGTGTATATTTAACTTTTCTCTGGTTAGTCAGTGGCCCTCATCAGATTCCTAAATAGGGACACAACCAAAGAGGTTAAGAATCACTGTAGCGGATTAAGACATGGGAACAACAGAACTGCATGCTCTAAATCAGCCATTGCTGGGGCTGAAAATCAGGGCAGCCGATGCAGGAATACAAGGAGCAATCTCTAGGACTTGCGGCCTGGTGCTGTCTGTTGAGATGCAGAAAAAGCTAAAAAGATGCTCAATGGGTAAAATACTGCAATAAAATCAAATGAGAAGGGAAAAATTGTAATACAAAAAGTTTAAATACAGATTTTTTTAAAAAAATGGATGCCGAGGGGAAAGAAGTCTAACTTTTGCAACCAGATTTTTGCTGAAAAGCAACTACACTAGGGCCAGGGTGAGGGAGCCTGCAGCATGCAGGGTTCACAGGAAAAAAAACAACTCTGATTAACAAGACAGCCCAGATGGGTTGTCCTTGAGGTCCAAGAAGTCAAATTAGTAGCAAACAAAAGCCTTCTAAGAAATAAATGGAAAGAAATAAAAGTAGATTAGTGACAGGAGAGGGCAGGAGGGAAGCACTGGGAAGGGACCCCAGGACTGTCCTGTGGCAGCAATCACAAGAATTTCAGCTGAGCCCAGTGGAAATGGAAGACTAAACCAAATCAGAGCTGGGCTAAGTGGATTCCTTTCCTGGAGGAGGCTGGAGCCTAACTGAATCTGTAATAAATTTCTGTTTCTGAAGCTCCTCTGATTTCTATTCAAACTCAGTCTTCAAAAACCTTATTCAAGTGATTTCATTCCATTATTTCCAGGGTTTCTAAGACAAGAAAGAGCATCCCGAGGGTGCCCGTCTGAAGATGACATCAGTTTCAAAAGGCAAAGAGTATAGCCTCCCTTTTCCCTCTCCAGGTTACCCGAGTCCTGAGAAAGCTCAGGAAAGAAAGACTTTCTTCAGGAAGAAACTGACCTGCTTCTAGACTCACAGGTCACGTGAGCTTTCCTAGGGATGGATACATTCAGGCCATCCCTCTGCTAGCAAATGCTCAGCAAAGGTCATGAGAAGATCTGGTCCATTAACTGTAAACAGCTAACCAGCAGGCCCAGGGGGAGGCTTTTAAAGACTTCTATCCATTAAAAAAATCCATTCATTCAAGCATGTATTTAACAGAACTTGCCGTATTGGGGGCATGTGTGTCTATGTTAGGTGGCACCAGAAGACACAAAAGGAATGTAAGGTCCCTTGAGGGATTCCCACTCACCTTGGGGAGCAAAACACTGCTGGGGAGCAGTCATAGAACATAATTGTTCACCAGAGGAACCACCGTGTACCCCAAACTACAAACACAAGTACTGAACAGACCAGCTAGTGGGAGAGTGATCAGAACAAGAGTTCCTGTAACAATACCCATCTTTAATAGTTTCAGAATGCTTGAGATTGGCAAGCACACTCTCCCGCATTGCCTCGCTTACTCCTCAAAACAAGTCTATGGGATAGCTATCAGCTTCCTTTTACAAATGAAATTATATTCAGAGATTAACGCAAATGGTGGGACTGGAACCTGAACCTACTGACTCTAAATCCTTGCACTCTTTCTACAACTCTGCCAGGAGTGCATGTTTGCTCCTTGGTTGATCATCAGACCTTGGCAAGAGACTCAATGACTTTTGTAGAGACACACAGCAAGTTTGGGTAAGGCCACCATTTAACCCCAGGCCTCATGACAGATAATCTGATGCTGCTCCCAGAATACCTTTCATTTGGCATCTATCAGGGTGTATGCCTGAGCTTCACCTTGGTACCAAGAATAGGAAAAGCTAACATGATTACGAAGAGAAGCTTCTGAAAGAGGCGATGCAACCTCATCAGAAGGGTGTGAGGGCAGCAGAACAGACCTGGGCATGAGGGATGTAAAGGGCAGTAAGAGGGTCATCTGAAGGGCTGGTGATGGTCAGTACCATCAGCCCAGGCCACATTATCCTGAAAATCCATAGCGAGATGTCTGTCTGGGTTTGTTCAGGCTTGTCCTTATAGTTGAGGGTATTAGATGTCTCCTTCAGAAGTTCTGTATGCAATAGCAATGACTAAAGCTTCACATAAGAAGCAATCTAAATCTTCTCTGATTTCTCTCCCATATTTTTCCCTGAGTTGGCATCATGGGTTCGGTTAGATCTTAAGGGATTTCTGCACACTGATCTTACTAGAGAGCCTCATCTATTTAACTGGACCAGTCTAGAGGAAAAGAGCAGAGCCTTGGTTTCTGGCCTGGATTTAATGACTTGTACATGTCTATCTCCTCCATTAAATTGTACACACCATATTGAGTCTTTTTTTTTTTTTTTTTTTGAGACAGTCTCACTCTGTCGCCCAGGCTGGAGTGCAATGGTGCAATCTTGGCTCACTGTAACCTCTGCCGCCTGGGTTAAAGCGATTCTCTCACCTCAGCCTCCTGAGCAGCTAGGATTTCAGGCACCCGTTATCATGCTCAGCTAATTTTTGTATTTTTGTAGAGACGGGATTTCACCATGTTGGCCAGACTGGTCTTGAACCCCTGACCTCAGGTGATCCTCCTGCCTCAGCCTCCCAAAGTGCTGGGATTATAGATGTGAGCCACCGCGCCCAGCCTGAGTCTTATTCAAAGTAGTAGAAGTATTTGATCACCATGTTGAATTAAATTGAACAAATACACCTGGCTCTGCCTCTGTGCGACTTTAGGTGAGCTCTTGCATGTCTCCAAACCTGAGCGCCTTCACTTTCCAAATAGGAATGAAAATGCCTGTCCCATTGACCTCACACAGCTGTCACCTGTCATGGGGACTGAGTATGATCACGGATCACGTACGTACGAGCAGTATTCATAGTTTCTAGTCCCATATAAACACAAAGGTCTAGTCTGATCACTTACGAACATCTACTTGCAGGTGACCCTGTGTTGGGTGCATCGCACATTAGGAAATTTCCTGCACGTTGTTTTTCTGTCAGGACTTTCACACAGTAGGCCCTTGATAAGGATTTGCTGTACCTTGCTGATTCGACTGGCTGACAAGTACCCCCAGACCAGAAAAGGAAAGTTCTCCCTGAGGCTGCAACAGACGGTGCGGTGTTCTTCCCCCGCCTGGGTAAACATGCCAGACATGATAAAAAGAACAGAATAGCTGAGTGCCCTCAGGGAATCCTAGTGTTACTCCCGTTGGCCACACGCTGACTTTATTTAGAGATCAAGTAAAGGCGCTATGGCTAGCATTCGGCGAAAATGAGCACTGTGGAATCTGGCTTTTAAGAATCCCTTCGGCATTTGTCATTTCTCTTAGGTCCATGTGGGCGGCTGCCAGTGTTTTGGGATCAGCCGGCCCCTGGACACGCCCTGAGCAACCCTGACGCCCGATCCTTCCACCGTCACTCTTCTGCACACAAGGGCATGGCGGCCCAGAGGGTCCTGTTAAAGTGTCAAGCGCTTCCTATGATACCCGCACGCCAGGTCTCCATACAACCCACCAGTGCCTGGCCAGGTGAGCATGTGAGCTCTCCTTTGGAAGGGTCACGGACTAGAGGAGAGGAAGTTCTGCTGAGGTGGGAAGGCCTGGGCCAGACAGCAGAGAGCCCTGGGCTCCTCCGGGCAGAGGAGACTCCCTGAGCGGGTGAAACTAACCATCGTGTTTTAACAAGCTATTCCAACCCTAAACCAGTTCTCCCAATTAGTTTCTTGACACTTATTGCCAGAACCGTATTCACTGACCTCCTTCGCTTCCTCCCTCCTCCTTCCCTCAATAATGAATACTTCCTAAGTTCCAGATCCCTTGCATGGCACTGAGCTGGTTGCCAAGATAACCACGAAGCCCTCACACTCTCCTGGGGGCAGGGGTAAGGGTGGTCATCGGGTATGCCTACTGCAATGTGAAAAGGGCTCTCCTGGCAGGGTGGGCAGAGAGCTGTAGGGGTAGGACCACAAAGTAACACTGGAATTGGGCCTTAAAGGATCAGCAGAGTCCTGCCAAGCCCAGGGGGTTGTGATGCGGAGAGCACTTAAGGCAGAGGAAAAAATAGCTGTGTGAAGATGGAGGAGTGAGAAGTTCAGGGTCACAGTGGGTCCTGGTGAACAGCAGTGATCACTGGGTGGGTGGAAAGGAAGAGAGGAAGGGCGGGGAGAAGTGGCTGCAAAGGTGAACTGCCACACAGATGGTCAAGGGCTTGCCACGCGAGGGACACGGACTGTGTTCCGTGGGCAATGGGGAGGAGGCACAAACAAGGTCAACTTGCTAAACGTGGAGAGGGCACAGGAGCAGTGGTGTTCTCAGACTGGTTTGTACCAGTGGCAAGAGTAATTGTTAATATTATTTTTATAAGAAGGTTGATTTTACATTTAAAATCAGCCATGGTGGGCATGCCTGCATCACAGAAATAGGCAAATGTCATGAAGCAGGTTTTTTCCAGAGTGGTTGTTAAACATTTACCAGCACACACTGGGCATGCGTGTGTATGCGTGCACACATACATAGAGCTGCTAACAAATCACAAAGAGGCCCAGCAACAGCAGAAAAAAAGGATGCCAGGCAGAACTATGTGAGATCTTGGCACACTCACCAGTCTCAGATTCTTCATTGCTTGGGGAAACATGCCTTGATGTAGCTGCAGTTTGCCAACTTTCATCACTTGAACCCCTCTGACGGGATGGCTTCCTGGGAAAAAAATCCTGGAAGAAACCAAACGGCAAACAGTGTCAGCAGCCCTCACCTTTGCAGTCAGCATTTCATCAGGAGACTACGAAAGTGGAAGCAGACACTAGCTGTGAATGTTAATGAGCTACTGAAAGGAAATCAGCTTTGCAATCCAGGAGAATGCAGTACTGAGGGGAATTGACACAGGACTGGTCTCCAGCTCCTCAGAATGTGTTTTGTGTTAGGGAAAAAAAATGACAGGACTAGAAGGTCTCCCTCATAAACACTAGAGAAGAGAAACAAAAGTTTGGAGCTCTGCGTTGATATTTGGGAGGGGTGGGGCGGGGAGAACAGGTGCTAATCTCCTCCTCCAAGCTCTTCCATGAAGCATCAGCATCAGCACTAGCACAGCCCTGGAACAGCAGATTGCCTCTCAATATATATTTGTTGAATAAACAAAGTTTTCATCATCCCCCAACTAGATCCTACCACACCCCCCTTTTAACCGCAAAGCCCTTTGATTGAATCTCAGCTGTGGAGTCCATCATGGTACACCTTTCTTATGAGCACGTGTGTATTTATTTATCATCTCACTGGATTATAGTGCTTTTTATTCAGGCACCCCATCTGCGTTCTCCATGATGTCTGACATGCAGGAGGAACTCAATCCATACTGGACCCTTTCACATAGAACAGAATAGAATACGGTGTTGTCGTGGACCAAAGAAAGAGGACGCACACGACTCCGGCTATGGGCTGTTTCAGACCCTGTGAAGAGCTGTATTACTTCAATTCAACAAGAATTTACCATATTGGATTTAACCAAATATGAGCAGTTTGGCCTCTTCTGGCCCCAATACCCCCTACCCCTACTCTTAGAGAATACTGAGCCCCCGCTGTATATGCAGAATTGTCTCTGGTGGAAATGCCTACACACACACACACACACACACACACACACACAAAACCACAGTTTAAATGAGCTTTTCAGGACAGGTGCGATGGCTCACACCTGTAATCCCAGCACTTTGGAGGCCGAGGCAGGCGGATTGCTTGAGCTTAGGAGTTTGAGACCACCCTGGGTAACAAGGCAAAACCCTTTCTCTATTAAAAAAAAAAAAAAAATACAAAAATGAGCCAGGTGTAGTGGAGCATGCCTGTAGTCCCAGCTACCTAGGACGCTGAGGTGGGAGGATCACTTGAGCCCTGGAGGCTGAGGCTGCAGTTTCACACCACTGCACTCCACCCTGGGTGACAGAGTGAGACCCTGTTTCAAAAAAAAAAAAAGTTTTTTCCTTGAGGCTGAATCATCCCATTAGACACAAGATAAACATTCCTGCAGGAGTTAAAACAATGTTACAGGACGGAGCATGATTTAGCGCCCAAATAAGGCATAACTTAGTATACCCTAGATGTCCAGTTCAAGTTTGTTGAATTGAACTGAGAAAATGATACAAGTATTGTGAAGACAAAGAGGTGACTGATGGTTGGTTGGACTGGGGAAGGCTTCCTGGAGGTGGGAAATTGGACTTACACTGGCTCCCAAGGATTTGGAGAGGCTTGGCTGGGTAGGAGAAGGGAAGCATATCCCAACCGTCAGAGAGAACGAGCAAGGGCACACTCTAAATGCTGCTTCTCCAGGGACGGAGGTGCCTGCCCACAGACATCACTAAGATGACCTAGAATCCATCACTCACGCAGGGCCTGCCATGTGCCAGGCGCTGTTCCAACTGCTTTTCATCCATGAACCCAGAGAACCCCATCTAAGCTCTATTATATAACAGTGATGAGGCGGATTTACCAGGAGAGACAGGTATGTTCTCTGAAAATGCACACATATCTGCAAACCATTCCCTCTCGCTGAATCTTAACTCTTCCTCCCATGAAATGTGATATAGAAACACTTTTTTTTTCATTCATGCTCTTAAGAAGTAGAAAGCAGTACCTGGGAGGAAAGTATTTAAACCGACAGAAAGTTGGGCATGCCTCTTTTAAAAAGCTGAAAAGGGGCTGGGCGCGGCGGCTCACACCTGTAATCCCAGCACTTTGGGAGGGCGAGGTGGGCAGATCACAAGGTCAGGAGTTTGAGACCAGCTTGGTGAATATGGTGAAACCCCGCCTCTACTAAAAATACAAAATTTAGCTGGACGTGGTGGCAGGCGCCTGTAGTCCCAGCTACTCGGGAGGCTGAGGCAGAAATGCTTGAATCCAGGAGGCAGAGGCTGCAGTGAGCCGAGATTGCAGCACTGCACTCCAGCCTGGGCAACAAGAGCGAGACTCTGTCTTAAAAAAAAAAAAAAAAAAAAAAAGGCTGAAAAGGGAGCGGAAGGGGGAACAACAAAGGAGACACTGGGTCCTGGATTTTTCTTCATCTCTTCAGTATGCCAAGGGGTCAATCACTTTACCTCTCACCCCTTACGAAATGAACATCATTATCTATTTGTGTAGAAATGACTTTAAGATCCCCAGACAAAAGGCATAAGGGCAGGACGCCATCATCAGAGGGTAACTGCCCTGGACACTTTCCTTGAAAAGCACGCCTGGATTTGGGGTGTTATATTATTACTACGAATGTAGCATCATTAAACTTAAAGGCCAAAAAGTGATCTTACACTAATCATCACTCCACTAAGTAGATGTCTGTCATGTCAGTTAGCAGAAGGAAAGACAATCTTCAGTTCTACGATGGCAGAGAAAGCGGTGTGTCATTACGCCATGACAGGTACCTGCCCCGGTAGCTCAGATATTTCAAAATGAAGTAGAGCTTACAAAGGAGAGCATGAGGAAGCGCTTGTCCAGGGGCACTTCCAAATAAATATTTCCAGGGCAGCCTCACAGCTCTATGGGGCTGCTGATTGCGGGCCTGGTTGGTTTCTGGAGGCCTCCCAGCTGACATAGAGAATAAAAATCATGATTCCTTGCTGGAGTATAACTCCAAGGAAAGCTGGTCAAGCTCACTCCTGCTGGGAGACATTCTTCAAAGGTGTGGCCTTCCATCCACTTCATGGTGTAGAGCAGGGATGGGGAGAGAAGAGGGCCTGGAGGTAGTAGTCTTGACAGGACAAAAAGACGGTCATCTTTTGATAGGATTGTCAAAAATAAAGACCGGGATTAAGAGTCCAAAGTGAAGCAGCAATCAGGTGTGTCCAAGGACCGTGAGGACTAAAGCAGGAGTCTGAGTGAGAAGGTGAGGGGAAGATGCACCTACAAGATACTGGATTCCGGGTCCGGCCCCATAAGCAATCTGCAGAAGTCCAAAGTGAGTCCCTGCCCTTGGTTAGCATGTAGTTTGCAGGTGAGGCAAATGAAATCATGATATAGAAAGGCATGTGACAGCCACCTGACCAGGGCACAGTCCTGGTCAATATGGTGAAACCCCGTCAATATGTGTGAAACCACACAATGTGTGCTCTGGGAGCAGCCGGGACCACAGTGATCAGGGGAGTGGCAGAGCCTGAGTGTGTTTCCACTGGAGATGATGATGGGATCCTGGGACAAGGGAAGGGATGGATGGTTGCTCTGGTGATGGGATAGGAAGCTGAATGCCAAAGGGCAGTGAGCATGCTGGTCCGGCCAGCAGAGGAGGGGAGTGGGAAGGGAGGTGCACTCAAGGCCAGGCTGTGCAGAGGCACACACACGTGCAAAGCTAGGAACTCTGGACTTCTCTTGCCAGCAGTGAGGCCAGGCTGTGCAGACACACACGCGCAAAGCTAGGAACTCTGGACTTACCTTGCCAGCAGTGAGGCACTACCAAAGGGGGCTGAAGATATTTTATCACAATAGAAAACCAAGAAAATTGGAAAACAGACCCTAGAGGCAAAAATACTTGAGGTAGGATAGCAGCAATATCAACAGAAAAGAAGGACTTGGTACAAGAAAGGTTATGCAGCTGATTTAACAGAATCTGGGGATCCAAGGGGGTGCAGTGGAGTCTGAGTTGACTCCATGATTCAGAAATAGAAACGCTTCCACAAAAACATACAAGCAAACTACATAACAACAAAATCATTCAACAAGGCAGTTTACTTGTTTGGGTGATATAAATTTTCCTTTCACAGGTATAATGCTAGCAATCACATGTTCCAGAATGCTTGGCCTAGATTGGAAAAAAATGTTTTTGGTGTTTCTATGGTGAATAAGTGCATAAGAAGAAATGGGTTTAAACAAGCAGAGAAAAGAAGGAAATGTACACACCAGCTTTAACTCAGACCCACAAGCACCAAGATCTTACTGATATATTTTACAGGGAGGCTGAAAGTCAGGGAACTGGGATCTGAAGTCAAAAGGACATGGAGAAGAAATATCTGATGCCAGGATCTCTATCAGTCTGGCTGAGGTTGCTGATCTCTATTGGTCCTACGTGACACAATTACCAATCACATTATTCCGTTACAGATGGCAGCTTTGGCATTCACAGGGTAGGAAAAGGCCTTTGTTATTCAGGGCTACTGCTTTGGTTTGAATGTGTTCCCTCCAAAATTCAGATGCTGAAACTTAATGGCCAATGTGGTAGTGTTTGGAGGTCCGGCCTTTAAGAGGTGATTAGGTCATCAAGGCTCCTCCCCTTGTGAATGGGATTAAAGCCCTTATAACACAGGTTTCACGAAGTGTTCAGCTTGTTTGCCTTCCACTGTGTAAGGACACAGTGTTCCTTCCCTCCAGAGGATGTAGCAACAAGACATCATGTTGGAAATGGAAAGCAGCCCTCACCAGACAACCTGCTGGCACCTTCATCTTGGATTTCATGACTTGAACTTCCCAGCCTCCGGAACTGTGAGAAAAAAAAAAATTCTGTTCTTGGTGAATTACCGTCTATGGTATTTTGGTGTAGCAGCACAAACTAAGTTAATACAATTATTTTTTAAAAACTGATGCAAAACATATTACTGAACCTGAAAGGAGAACTTAACCTGCCTATTTAAATTGTATCTTAGAGTAACTAAATAGCTCCAGTTGTATGAATTTTAGCTGATAAATGTGGAATGATGACAGAATTAGAAAAATCATTTTGCAACTCCTGGAGAATTATTGGACTGAGGGGAGAAAATATCACTTGATGAAACCATTAGATAAAAGGATGGTAAAGAATTTTACAGTGGGTGGATTAACTTGTCACCATCTAAATCCACTGATCAATCTTAGCACCACCGAAGGAGGACAACTAGACACTAAGTGCCATCCGACGCAGAAGGAATTATTTTTGACCACCCCTCAACGATCCTTGTGAAACAAAACAGAACCCCACACACTGAAGCTGAATCTAACCAAGGCTGCAAAGTCAAATCCCATTTCATGCAAAAAACAAGGGACAGAGGGACAAGTAGAGCAGTCAGCTGAATCTGGGGTACGGGAAATTCTACAAAAGCCCGGACCCGGGATCTTCAACAAGTCAATCACATCGAAAGAAAAAGATGGTAGCGGGAGAAGAATACTGTAGATTAAAAGAGATGTAAGAGATGTAACAGCCAAATACGAGGTGCAGACCTTGTGTATCCTTACTCAGCCAAGACAACTGTAAAAACATATTTCTGGGATAATCCAGGAAATCTGAGCATGAAATGGCATTGCGCATGGAAGAAAAAATGTCCTCATTTTTCAGAGATACAAAACTGAGGTACGTATGAATTAAATGACCTAATATCTGAGATTTCACTTAAATATAGTCAGTCCTCTGTATGCACAAGACGTTAGTTCCAGGATCCCCACAAATACCAACATCTGTGGATGTTTAAGTCTCTTACAGTCAGCCCATGGTATCGCTGGGTTATAAATCCCCAGGTCCAGCATCTGCAGGTTCCAACAACTGCAGATCAAAAACACAGCTGGCCCTGCATATCCACATGTTCTGCATCCAGTTCAATCCAGCAGAGATCACTCAACGCAGAAGCCATGAATTTAGAGGGCCAACTGTATCTTCAGCAGATTTTCAGCTTCCAGCAATGGTGGAGTAGCTTATTTCAGACCAAGCAGCTTATCTGCTGCTGAAAACACGAAATGCTGTAAACAGGAAAACATAGACAAAAAAGTATTTTTAAGAATCTGTTTGAAGGTATCAAGGAGCCACTGAGGCAGCAAGATCTTGAAAAGTCAAGATCATGGAAAGAGTGGAAGGTGAACCTTGTATTCATTGGTACTTTTCCCTTTGATGATCTTAGAGACAGAGAGGCTCACCAGCTGAGCAATATTTTTGGCAGTCTCATAGAAAAGGAGACACAGAAACTGGAATTCAGGGATCAACAATGATAACAAGGAGCTCCAGTAAACATTCCTGGCTTTCGACTCTGACCACCAAAGGACTACAATCTATCTAGGTATAGTAAATTAGAAATAAAGCAGCCATTACAAAGAATGAATCACTTCAAATCCTGATTGGATTAAGGTACGAACTCTTTCTATCCTGATTCCCAGAAGCAAAAGTAAACATGTCTGAAGGAGATAACATCATCCTCAGCCTCAACTTATCTCAAATTTTCTGTATAATGTTCTGCATTTGGTAAAATTATAACCCGGCATACAAAAAGACAAGAACTCTCTGAAAACCAAGAAGAACAATATAGACAGTGACATAAGACCTACAGGTACTGAAATGGTAAGGTTCTCATACACAGACTTTAAAATAGCTCATAAATATGTTTGAGAACTTAAATAATATGTAAGAATTTTAGCAGAAAAATCAGAAATTATGTAAAAAATAACCAGTGGAAATTTTAGAACTGAAAAATAGAAAACTAAAATTAAGAACTTAACAGTCTAACATTAGATTAGTCAGAGCTGAGGAAAGAATTAGTGAACTGCAAGGTAGGTCAAATGAACATATCCATCAAAGATACAGAGACAATGTAACAGAAATAAACAGGAGCAGAGGTCTCATATGTGTCAACTGGAATCTCAAATGAGAGAAAGGAGAGAATGGGGCAGAAGCTATATATATACACACACACACACATACACACATATACATACATACATATATATACCCACATATATACATACATATATACACATACATATATATACATGTATATATACATACATACATACATACATATGGCTGTAATGGCGGAACATTTTCAAAACTAAAGACAGCAAGTCACAGATTAAAAAATGCTAAGAATTGCACAGAAACTACAATAATTCAGCAAAGGGAAAAAGAAGAAGGATGAGGGATAAGGTAGGCGTGGCAAAATCTTGATAAGAATTACTGAAGCTGGATGATAGACATATGAAAGTTCATATTATTCTATTTTTGTGTACATTTGAAAATTTTCATAATCAGGGCACTGGATTTTACTTTTTCACTTTTAGAAATGATGGACTTCAGGAGATAGCCTCAAGTTTCAAAAGATTTGGAATTTTACTAAATTTTGAGCCTTCTGTAGAAATAAAATGATACATTCAATGAACAGTATATAACAGCCTTCCAATGCTGTTTCAAGACATTAGACAGACATAGACTTGATAGCTAGAATAATAGCAGAGGGAGCAACAGCCCACAGTGAACATTAAAAGGCTTCGCTTTAGGTCTTAAAGCAAATGTAGAAACTCAGTGTCATATGCCAGGAGTAAACGGGACAAAGAGGCATGAAGAGGCACATAGAGTCAGTCTTCTGATGTTCCTTAGGCTCTGTTTAATTTAAAGCAGCTGTTTTATGGAAGTTATTTATGCCTTTGTGGTAGGATAACTTTATTAGTAATATGATATATTTTTGTTGCTGGGAGGGAAAAAAAAGGTCCTAACATCAGGAAACAAAACCAAAGGGGAAAAAAAAAGATGGGCCCCACAGTCATGAAACCACCTCAGAACACGGAGAACTACTTCTTACCATGACCTTAATTCACCCAGGCTGCTACTCTGGAGAGGTGCTGTTTCCCAAGTGGGTGATGAATCACTGCTTCTCCATCACCTCTACTGCTGTGCTTTGTTGGTGACAGGGAGATCAGGGCCGTGAATTCTTGTTTCCAAAAGAAAAAGAACTTGGGTTCCAGCCCAGACTGAACCCTCAGCTCTTGTTTGGTTTCTGATATGTACTATTGGCCTCATATCATTAAGATGGATCTGCACTCCCCCATCTCTATGTGAGTAACAGAAAGAAAATTCGTGGTGTCACACAGGATTTGACAACATCACAGTGAGATTTTATCTAATGCAATGAAATTTTTCTTGCATTTCTTTTACTTCATAAACTGAGATACATTTCTACTTCTCTTAAAACCTTCCACCAAATAGGTCCTTCACTCAAAAGGTGGGGTTTAGGCCAGGCGCCATGGCTCACACCCTTAATCCCAGTGCTTTGGGAGGCCAAGGAGAGAAGACTGCTCCAGGGCAGGAGTTCAAGTGCAGCCTGGGTAACATAGTGAGATGCCATCTCTACAAAAGGAAAAAAAAACAATTTAACTAGTCAGCCATGCTTGGTGTTGCACAGCTGTGGTCCCAGCTGCTTGGGAGGCTGAGGTGGGAGGATCACTTGAGCTCAGGAGTTTGAGGCTGTAGTGAGCTATGATGGTGCTACTGTACTTCAGCCTAAGTGACAGACAAGACTATCTCTACAAATAAATACATATTTTTTTTAGAAGTAGGGTTTTCTTACTCTTATTAGTTTGACAATTAAGAGTTACTTTGCACATGATCCATTATTAGAATCTTTAATCAGATAAGAATAAAAGAGACTTTCAATTATCTGAAATGTCCATGTTATTCAGACTCAGGAGCACAGAGGGTAGGAAAGCAGTAGATAAATTAGAATGAAGGAGATACAAGATTTGGGCTGAAGACATGGCTCTTCCAGTTAGTTGAATGACTATTTCACAACTAATGTGATAAGAGATTGGAGAGCATCTGGAAATGTATACAACTCCATACGAACACAAACTAGTATTATTAAGTTTCCAGGGCTAGTAAATGTATGGTAATTAGTGGAATGCACTGTTGCACCCACATGGAGATTACACACTGGGTTGGGGGTGGGGAGAATCACTAAAAAAAAAAAAAAAAAAAAGCATGATAGCATCAAAATGGTCATTTTCCACAGCCAAAAACAAACAAACAAAAAAACAGAAAACCACTTGAACTACTGCTACATTTGCCTGTTTCTTTTAAAATACAAGGGGCTTGGGCAGCAACACACAGGAAAGCCTGGAGTAGTTGAGATGATTCTGGGTGAGTGTCCTCATTAAGGGAAAGACTTATGTTGCAGATAGGACTAAGCATCCAATAATGAACCAAACTGGGGTTTTGGTCTTTCCTTCTAGAAAACACACTGAGAAACTCTTGCCTATATTTGTAACTTTTATATTAAGTGTGTTCAATTATTTTCACTTCACACTGGACTTAAAAATTTCCTCACTCTCATGCCCGCGAGCAGCCTGGCTGGCAGCAGGGAAACCTCAGGGGCTGTGTGGATGGCCCTCAGTGTGGCGCAGGGGTGAGGACTGGCCAGCATCTTCCAGGCAGGCAGGACAGTCCTCCACTTCATGTAAACAGTTTCCTCTTGAAGACTCCTAACAGTGATAATGCTGTCCTTTTGCCTGTCTCATATATGACAGCACTATTTTTTTAGAGTGTGAAACATTTGATGACATCTTGAAGGATTTCAAAAAGGCTGGCTAGCACAACTGAAGTATAAAATAACCATAATTTAGTTTAATACATCCTTGAGAAAAAATGGTAATGAGATATTCCCTACAAAAACTGCATTTATTCTGTATAGTCTATCCTTGTGTGGGATAAAGTTCTGAATGTACACACTCAAGCCCTCCAAAGATGGTCATATCATTCAGATCATTCCTCAAGAAACTTAACAGCAGAAAGTTTAAAATTTTCAGAAAATTTTAAATTTATTTGAACGTTTTAGTTCAAGTTTATAAAAGTTGGTTTATATTCTACTCCTAGAAATGCAGCAGGCATGGTAGCTATACCGATTCAATGGGAGCATACTGAAAACAATGTAGAACGCTCGATGAAATATTCTAAAAAGCAGTAAGATGCTGGCAAGATAGGAAGGCATTGTCAGGCCAGAATGTGAGTGAAGAAGGACTCCTGACAAATAAGCAGAATAGCTGAACTGCTGGTCTGCTGGAGTCTCTGTCCTCCTCTGCTCTGTGGGACTTGGGGGACAAAAGAGCAAGCCCACTGTCTCCCCAGCAGGATGGGGTCTAGTAGGAAATCCTTCCTTTCGTTCAACTTATTTGGAATGGTAAGTAAGACATGATTGCCGGTAACAGAAGGAAACAGATTACATGCAAGAGTCCCAGAGAGCTGACAAGCAGTTGCAGAGTGGAAGCTGAAAGAAAGCCAGTGGAATGACATCTTCCATGTTCTGAGGAAAACAAACTCCTCCTCTAGAATTCTACATCCCAAAAGACATCTTTCAAGAATAAGATTGAAGAGCTGAAGGGTGCAGGGCTTCTGATGATGATGAAAATCTTCTGAAATTGACTGTAGTCATGGTTGCACATATATTAAAATATATTGAAAACCACTGAAGTATACACTTTAAATGGATAAATCCCTCTCCCTCTCCCCACAGTCTCCCTCTCCCTCTCTTTCCACCGTCTCCCTCTCCCTTTCCCACGGTCTCCCTCTCCCTCTCCACGGTCTCCCTCTCCCTCTCTTTCCACGGTCTCCCTCTGATGCTGAGCCGAAGCTGGACTGTACTGCTGCCATCTCGGCTCACTGCAACCTCCCTGCCTGATTCTCCTGCCTCAGCCTGCCGAGTGCCTGCGATTGCAGGGGTGCACCGCCACGCCTGACGGGTTTTCGTATTTTTTTGGTGGAGACGGGGTTTCACTGTGTTGGCCGGGCTGGTCTCCAGCTCCTAACCGCGAGTGATCCGCCAGCCTCGGCCTCCCGGAGGTGCAGGGATTGCAGACGGAGTCTCGTTCACTCAGTGGTCAATGGTGCCCAGGCTGGAGTGCAGTGGCGTGATCTCGGCTGGCTACAACCTCCACCTCCCAGCCGCCTGCCTTGGCCTCCCAAAGAGCCGAGATTGCAGCCTCTGCCCCGCCGCCCCGTCTGGGAGGTGAGGAGCATCTCCGCCCGGCAGCCGCCCCCTCCAAGAGGTGGGGGACACCCCCACCCGGCCAGCCGCCCTGTCCGGGAGGTGTACGCAGCAGGTCATTGAGAACGGGCCATGATGACGATGGCGGTTTTGTCGAGTGGAAGGGGGGAAGTGTGGGGAAAGGAAAGAGAAATCAGATTGTTGCTGTGTCTGTGTAGAAAGTAGACATGGGAGACTCCAGTTTGTTCTGTACTAAGAAAAATTCTTCTGCCTTGGGATCCTGTTGATCTGTGACCTTACCCCCAACCCTGTGCTCTCTGAAACATGTGCTGTGTCAACTCAGGGTTAAATGGATTAAGGGCGGTGCAAGATGTGCTTTGTTAAACAGATGCTTGAAGGCAGCAGGCTCGTTAAGAGTCATCACCACTCCCTAATCTCAAGTACCCAGGGACACAAACACTGCGGAAGGCCGCAGGGTCCTCTGCCTAGGAAAACCAGAGACCTTTGTTCACCTGTTTATCTGCCGACCTTCCCTCCACTATTGTCCTATGACCCTGCCAAATCCCCCTCTCCGAGAAACACCCAAGAATGATCAATAAATACTAAAAAAAAAAAAAAATAAAAAAAATAAATGGATAAATTGTAAGCTGTATAAACTGTCTCTCAATAAATCTCTTAAAAAGGATAAAGATGAAATAAAAATATCTTTAGACAAAGAAAAATTGAAAATTTGTCACCAGATCTTCACAAAAGGAATTTCTAACATTTTAGTTGAAAGGAAAATCATCCCAGATGGATGGTCTAAGATACAAGAAAAAATGGACAAAGAGAATGCTTAATATGGGCAAATCTATGAATACTGACAAAATAATTTTTGTGGGTTAAAATATGGTAAAAATTAAAATACACAACAATTATAGCATATGTATCAGTAGGAGAAACAGTAGTATTCAAGCGTTTTAAAGCCTCTCTACATCCACGAAGACCGTAAGAAAGTAACATACTTTCTTTACAATTCTTTAAACAGTTCATCTGTGACTTATATATCCTTCACAATATGTGATTTATTTAATAATTTTAAAAGTCTTAATTAAGACTTTTTAATGTTCTGTTTAATGTAACTGATTTAATGTTCTGTTTTAATTTCTGAGTACAAAGCCAGTTTGCGGAGAGCAGTCAGGTTAATAGGTAATCTAGGGATTTAACGATCTCAAAGATTGAGTGTTACATCAGTAAGAAAGGAGCATTGTCGTTAAAAAAAACCCATACCTTTTCCTTGTTTGGAAAGAAAAGAGGAGAGTCATAAAAATTAAATATGAATAAAAAGCTGCACAATTTACTTTAAAATAGAAGATGAAATATAGTTTGGCATCAATGAGCTTACCAAGCCGTATGTATCTGTATCTACAATGTTGTTTAACAACCCTATACTCATGTGATGTTGTTGACATAGATTTCAGTAGTGTTACTGGTACTTTATTGAAATCAATCACTACAGATGCCAAGTACTCAGAGCCCACAGACCTTGAAGAAGTCATAGGATGGGTTTCCATAGCACAGGTGTTGGAAGGTGCCGTATTGTGGTGCTGGGAAGCAGAGATGTTCTCTTCTTTGAAGATTTTCAAAGAAAAAATATAGCCTGTTGTAGCAGAGCAGCTAGCACTGCTTAGATGCAGAATCATGAGAAAGTGAGGCGATAGCAGAGGCTGGTAAACTCCACCTCACAAGCCAAATCCCATGAGCAACATGCTTTTGTAAATAAGGTTTCGTTGGGACACAGCCGTGTCTATTCATTTACATATTGTCCACAGCTGCTTTCAAGCTACAAGAGCAGAATTAAGTAGGAGGATGTATGGCTTGCAAAGCTGAAAATATTTACTACCTGGCTCTTCACAGAACAGTTGCTGACACTTGCTCTACGACAAAGGAGTTACTAAAAATAAGAGGCCAGGAAGAGGATCCCTTAAAAAAATGATCGTAATGGACAACCATGAATAGGTCTGGGAGGTGGGGCTGCCTAGTTGTCTGCATCACTAGTAAGAATAATGGTAATTACAGTAACAGCAGTTCATACAGTTAGTGCCTTTGCCTCATGTCAGGCACTGTCCTAAGGACTTTGAGTTGAATTTATTCTAAAAAAAAAATCTTATTCAAGCAGACTCTGGTAATGATGGTGTAAAGTAATTAGTAGTTCTTGTCCATAGAAAATGAGTACAAAACTAGTCAAAATTGCCAAAGGCAACCACTTTAGGGCATCAGAAATTGATCTAAGGTAGACAAAAAATTGAGAAGTGTTTATTTTTTTAAAAATAACTATATTTTAAGGTAAGAAAATCAGGATTCTATGGTCTTCTTGCCTGAGGCTATTCCCATCTACCATTCACCCCCAAGTCAGCCTTAGAAGGAATGAGACCAACTCTCCGTATCACCTGGATAACTGGGAAATTGCATGTACACAAGGGAGACCCAAAAGAACCTCATCAAAAGTAAAAATCAGAGGAGATTTGAGGACCTTAAATGTATCTTCTCACACACAAGTGACCAGCAGAGTGGAAGCCTTATAGGCTCAAGGTATTTCCTAGAGGTCCCCCTGTGTCTTCTGCATAGCTTAATGGTCTGCCCACATCACAAAAAAGAAGAAAAAGAATAAGACACTAAGCAAAGACAATACTGATGAGCTCCACTGCGTACTCCACACTCTGCAGCTGAAGTCCAAGCAAGTTACAAAACAATACACCACAAAATGCTCACCAACTACTCTCAGAACAAAACAGAATGCAGTTATAACACATTATTTAAAATGTTCAGTTCCCAAACCAAAACCACCAGATATACTGTCTCTACACCCTGCCCCCACCCCCCAAAGAAATAAAGACAGAGGGCAGGAAAATGATACAAAGTGTCAAAAGAAACAAACTATTAACCGAGATACCTATATCCGGAGAAACTACCATTTAAAAATGAAGGTGAATATAGTAAAGATGATGAGTCTCTTTAAATTGACTTAGTGAAACTGTAATAAAAATCCAAGCTTGATATTTGTAGATATAGACAAACTGTTTCCAAAATTTATATGGAAACACAAAGGAATTACAAGAGTCTAAGCAATTCTAAAAAATAATAAAATTGGAGGGCTCACACAATCCAATTTTCAGATTTACTAGAAAGCCACAGTAATCAAGACAGTGTGGCACTGGCAAAGAGATAGACACAAAATGAATGGAGCACAATAGAAATTCAAGAAATTGATTCACACAAATGTAGCCAATTATTTTTTTTTTCCCAAAGGCATAAGAACAATTCAATGGAGTAAGGATGGCATTTTTAACCATCTTCAACAACACCTGTTATCTACCTTTTCTATTATATCCATCCCAGTGGGTGTGAAGTGCTATCTCACTGTGGTTTTGATTTGCATTTCCCTAATGGTTAATAATGTTGAACATCTTTTCATGTGTTTATCAGCCATTTGTATATCTTCTTTGGAAAATGTATAGTCTAGTCTAGGAAGAAAAACGAACTTCAACCTGAACTTCATAACTTATATATCAAGGTCAATGATGAGGCCATGAACTCAAATAGATCATTGACCTAAATACAAACTCGTAAAAATTTTAGAAGACGTAGGGGAAAATCTTCATGACCCTGAGTTAGGCAAGAGTTCTTAAATATGACACCAAAAATATGATTCATAAAAGAAAAAAATGGAAAAATTTCATCAAAATTAAAAACATCTACTCTGTAAAAGATACATTTAAAAAATGGAGGCCTGGCGTGGTGGCTCACACCTGTAATCCCAGCACTTTGGGAGGCCGAGGCGGGTCGATCACTTGAGGCCAGGAGTTCGAGACCAGCCTGGCCAACATGGTGAAATCCTGTCTCTACTAAAAATACAAATATTAGCTGGGTGTGGTGGCATGCGCTTGTAGTCCCAGCTAATTGAGAGGATGAAGCACAAGAATCACTTGAACCCAGAAGGAGGAGGGTGCAATGAGCCAAGATTGGGCCACTGCACTCCAGCTTGGGTGACAGAGTGAGACACTGTCCCAAGGGGAAAAAAAAAAAAAAAAGAAAAAGAAAAAGAAAATGGAAAGACAGCTTACAGAGTGAAATTATTTGCAAAATATACATCAGATTGAAGGCTTGTATCCAAAATATATCAAGAACTCAATAAAACAAAGCCAAAAAGAAAAGGAAAAGAAAAAATGGTCAAGAGACTTGAATAGACATTTCTACAGAGACAATATATGAATGCCAAATATGTACAGGAAAAAATGATCAACATAATTAGGTACCAGGAAAATGTTTTCCAATGAGCACCACCACGTACCCTTTACCACAGGTCAACAGGCTAGTTCTCCATCCTCCCTCTAAACCAAATATATATGACTTCTCCCAGATTGTGGAAGTATATATGCATTTCCTATGCTTAATTAGATAATCAAATCCCTACTTAGAGCTCAAATTACTCAAATTACTCAAATTACAAGTTCCTTTAGTCTTGTTCCTAGAGGTGCCTCTGCAGCTATGAATCTTGTTTTATACTTATCAACTTATCAACTTGTAAGATTTTGACAGTTTTTGGCTAAAATCAAACAAACTATCAATACTATTCTTTTGTGTTTGTGAAGATGTGGAAGAACTGGAACCCTCATATATTGTTAATAGGAATATAAAATGGTAAAGCACTTTGGAAAACATTTTGGCAATTACCTAAAAAGTTAAACAGAAGACTCGAGTGAGATGGTCAAAAGATCTGACTAGATATTTTTCCAAAGAAGATACACAAATGGCTCATAAACACCTGAAACGATGCTCAACATGATTAGCCATCAGGGAAACGTGACTCGAAGCCAGTGTAGTACCACCTCACACCCACTAGGATGGGGATAACCAAAAAGACAGATAATAACAAGTGTTGGTGAGCATGTGGAGAAATGAGAACCCTCATACCCTGCTGGTGGGAGTGTAAAATAGTACAGCCACTTTGGAAAATGATCTGTCAGTTCCTCAAAACATTAAACGACAGAGTTATCATATGACCTAGCAATTCTACCTCTAGGTGTGTTCCCATGAAAAATGAAAACACAAGTCCATGCAAAAACATGTATACGAATGTTTATAGCAGTGCTATTCATAATGGCCCAGAAATGGAAACAATCCAAATGCCTATCATTTTATAAATAAACAAAGTTGATATCTCCGTATGGTGGAATATTATTCAGCCATGAAAAGGAATGAAGTGTTTATACATGCTACAACATGGATGAACTTTAAAAACATTATGCTAAGTAAAAGAAGCCAGACACACAAGGCCACAAATTATATGATTCCATTTATGTGAAATGGTATATGACAAATCCCGAATAGGCAAATCCACAGAGACACAAACTAGATTAGTAGTTTCCATGGGATGTGGCCAAAGGGGGTTGGAGATGACTGCTAACAAGCATGAGGCTTTTTTTTTGCATGAGGCAATGTTCTGGAATTAAATTATGGTGATGGTTGTACAACCTTGTAAATATGCTAAAAAACCCACTGAAATGTACACTTTTAAAGTGGATTTTATGGTATGCAAGCGCTATCTCAATTTTTTTAAAGATTAAACATTATGCCCCTGAATTCCATTATTAGGAATCAATCTACTTATGAGAAATAAAAATATATGTCCATACAAGGTCTTATATGTGAATGTTTACAGCAGCATTACTCATCATAGCCAAAAAAGTGGAAATAACCCAAATAATCAACTGGGAGTAGATAAATATGATGTACTATATCCATACAATGTAAACTACTCAGCAATAAAAAGTAACAAAGTACTAATACATGTTACAACATGAATGAACCTTAGTAACATGCTGAGTGAAAGAAAGCAGTAAAGTAAGGCTACATATATGATTCCATTGATAGGAAATTTGTAGAAAAAGCTGAACTATGGAGACAGTAAGCAGAAATGTGGTTACCTGGAGCTGGGTATGGGTATGAACTGACTGCAAACAGGCCTCAGGAAAACTTTGGAGATACTAGAAATATTCTAAAAATGGATTGTGAGAATTTTTGCACAACCATAAAAACTTCTAAAACTCAGAACTGTACAACTTATAATGGTTGAATTTTATGATATGTAAATTATGCTTCAATAAAGCTGTTAAAAATTAAACAACCTTATGAGACAGATACTATTATTGTTGCCATTTTAGCAATCAGGAAACTGAAGCATAGACAGATTAAGTAACTTGCTAGAAAATGGCAGAGCTATTATTTGATTCCAGGCAAAATGATTACGGAATTCTTAACCACTAAATCAAATCCAGTGTAATTTGCTAACTATAAAGTATAGTACTGGGAAAATTGAGAAAAATGCCACCTTCTTCCAAGAGTCAAAGAATGATCACACATTGAGGGCACTATTTATATACCTAACTCTCTGCAAGTAACCCCATTTCCATCCTCTCTTATTAGCACACCAATTTGCAAGGTAGTTGCTATTACATTAAAAATATACAATTTAAAACAGTTCAGCACATGTGTCTTATAATGGTCTCCTCCAAATTCCATAGCGACCATTAAAGAAAATATGTCTGGGCCAGGTGCGCTGGCTCACACCTGTAATCCCAGCACTTTGGGAGGCCGAGCACTGGGGTCAGGAGGTGGAGACAATCCTGGCTAATACGGTGAAACCCCGTCTCCACTAAAAGTCCAAATTTAGCTGAGCGTGGTGGCATGCATCTGTAATCCCAGCTACTTGGGAAGCTGAAGCAGGAGAATCACTTGAACCTGGGAGGCAGAAGTTATAGCGAGACAAGATTGTGCCACTGCACTCTGGCCTGGATGACAGAGTGAGACTATGTCTCAAAAAAAAAATATTAACTAATCAAAATTTTTTTTAAAAAAGAAACTATGTCTGATACCTACGCATTCAGAGCTTTCTTTGCTCAGGCACCCTCTCCTCTCACAGTCTCTGAAGGCCAGGCAAAAAGGCTAGTTCTTTACCCTCCCTCTAAACCAAATATGTATCACTCCTTCTACATTGTGGAAGGGTATATGCATTTCCTATGCTTAATTAGAGAATCAAATCCCTACTTAGAGGTCAAATTACTGTAGTTCCTTTAATCTTGTCTCCAGAGGAGCCCCTGCAGCCATGAATAATCTTATTCCATTCATACTTATCAACTTGTAAGATTTTGACAGTTTTTGGTAAAGCACAAACACATAGCCATAAGTACTGCTCAAGCAGTATTTTTCAAAGGGAGGAAGAAAGGGAAAAAGATGAGGGAAGAGTAAACGTTCATGAAAAGAAAGATTTCTCCCCTTTGGGAATCTGTTTATTTTGCCATTGTCAAAGTGAGGCAGGAATTCAAACACCTGACGGCATGGAAGTGGCAAAACCATGTGGGTTTGACTTGATGGTCCTGAGAAGCTGCTGGCAATGCTTTTTAAATTCTGCAAATATAATTAATGGCTTGTTTGCTATTTTGGCAACTTAAAGCAGGGGCTATGACTGCCTGTGACAAAATCAGTAATTGAATGATTAAACTAGATACTCACAGTCAAAACGGCATCTAACAATTTACCTCTAATACAACATTCCCAATTAATTTTTAAATACCTATTAAGATATAAAAAGATTTAAATATAAAAAAATTAAATTCAACTTAAAACACTTTAAAACTAGGGCCAATGCCTGAGTCTAGAAAGAGACTACCTAATGCCAGAGTCTAGGAGTTCTTCTGAGCCACAATTTTGCTGAGGGCAATGCATAGTGAAACGCTATGAGGGTAAGACTGCCTGGCTGAAAAGAGTGACAAGGACCCTTCACACTGTCAGAATCATGGATCAGAAATCAAGTCTGCACCAAGCAAGAATCTGCACAACTGTCTGTGCACCATGTGGGGCTGGCTTCTACAGCAGACATACGCAGTCATTTTGGTCCCTCTCTCCTCAGCCAATATGTTTATTCCATATACAGACTTTAACTTCTGGGAAAATGCAGGGTAGAGAGTGGAGAGAAGTGGCAGGAATGGTGTCACATTGAATACGGGCATAAGCAGGTATCATACATAACGTGATAAGAGAAGGCTGAGATATGAGGAGCCTTCACAGAAGTACATTCTACAGTATTCAGTTTTCAAGGTACTTTGTTTCATGTACCAGAAAAGCAAGCTAAGAGAAGATGCCATTTCAGTCAACCAGTTCCCAATAGATAAAAATACACTGGATTGTGAGAACCAGCTGTAGACTGAGCATATCCATCTGTTGTCCAGTTACAGATCTGATGAGGGAATCCAAAGAGCACTAAGCCAAGGGCAACTTGTGTACCATTTCCACCAGCAAACATTAATGCTGAATGCTTTCACACTAAAATGGGAGAAAAAGCAAGGATGGCTGTCATCCATACTCATATTGAACATAATAGTGGAAGTACTAGCCAGTGTAATAAGGCAAAAAAAAAATAACAGGATATAGAATAGAAAGGAAAAAATAAGCTGCCCCTATTTACAGGTAACATGATTGCCTATGTAGAAAATCCCAAGGAATTTTCAAAAACATTTCTAGATCTAATAAGTGAATTAAGTAAAGCAGCAGGACAAACTCAACCCACGTAAATTAATTATATATCTACAGACTAGCAAGACATACATGAAAACCAAAATAAAAAACACAGTAACACAAAATTACTTAGGTATGAATGTAAAATTGAATACTTAGATACACACCTAAAAATACCATGTACAGTATCTGTATGCTAAAACATACGAAACACAGATGAAAGATCTAAATAAATAAAGAGCCACACTGTGTTCATGCATTGGAAGACTCAACACAGTGAAGTTGTCAATTCTCTCCAAATTGATATATAGGCCAAACAATTTCTATCAAAACCCCAGGAAGAGTTTTTGTAGCTATAGACAAGAGTATTGTAAAATTAGCATGCAAAGGCAAAGGAACTAGAGCAGCTAGCACAATTTTGGAAAAGGAGCAAAACTAGAGGATTGATGTGATCTGATTTCAAATGTTTCTAGAGAAGTACACTACTGAAGACCAGAAGTAGCAAGCACTAGTTCTCATGCTAATTCTGCGATGTTCACTTACCACACTGCTGCCCTGTTTCCAGTTTTCCACTGTACTTTGGAAAAGCTAGTTTGGAAGTGTTGCAGGAGAGGTATCTAAGCATCTATGTATGGCAAATGGTTGTTCTAGTCATCTACTGCTGTGTAAGAAACCACCCCAAAATGTAGTGGTATAAAATAATAACCATTTTCTTATGGTCACATATTCTGTGGGTCAGAAATTCACGAAGGATACAGCAGGGATATCTCCCCTCTGTTCTATTATATCTGGGCCTCAGCTAGGATGACTTAAATGGCCAAGGGTGTCTCAAAACAGCTGCAGCTCAAAGATCTATTTCCAAGATGGCTTCTTCATTTTCACCTCTGGCACCTGAGCTCAAGTGACCAAAAAATGAACTCAAGCAGGGACTATCAACAAGAGTACTTAAGTGGCCTCTCCTTTTAGGTTCTCAAAACATGGCAGCTTGGTTCTAAGAGGGAATGTCACAAGAATGACCTTTCTGGAAAGCCAAGTGTTGCCAAGGACCAAGGCAGAAGCTGCAGGGGTTCATCCACCCTAGCCTTGGAAGTCGCATTGATTCACTTCTGCTGCATTCTAGCAGTTACAAGAGCTTCATTTAGGGAAAACCAGATTCAAGGGGAGGGAATTTAGACTGAATTTTTTTTTTTTTTTTTTTTTTTGAGATGGAGTCTTACTCTTGTTGCCCAGGCTGGAGTGTAGTGGCACAATTTTGGCTCACTGCAACCTCCGCCTCCCGGGTTCAAGGGATCCTCTGGCCTCAGTCTCCTGAGTAGCTGGGATTACAGGCATGTACCATCGTGCCCAGCTAATTGTTTTGGGTTTTAGTAAAGATGGGGTTTCACTATGTTGGCCAGGCTGACCTCAAGGTTGGATCGGGTGGATCACTTGAGGCTCAAACTCCTGACCTCAAGTGATCCACCCGCCTCGGCCTCCCAAAGTGCTGGAATTACAGGCATGAGCCATTACGCCAGGCCAGACTCAATTTTTTGATGGGGAAATGGTAATGTTACATTACGGAGAATGTGGAGGAGGAGATATTGTAGTGGACATCTTTTGAAAATACCAATTGTCACAATGGTTACAGTAAAAAAATACAGGAGCATTTAAAAAAAATCCTCCACTAAAGTAATTTCCACTTTATCCAGGTATTATGTTATAACCTCAGAGGCTCTCTAAGTCCTTTCAATCAACAGACTAAGTTTTTATCACTCACATGGAAGGTTCTATTATACTTGCAGATGCAATACTGTGCCTTTCACATGCTGCCCGCTAGGTGCTCAAAAGGCCAAAGAAGCATTAATTTACACTCACTTGCCTACTCCCACCTTTTGGGTGGGTGATTCCTCACCATAAGGATCCCTTTGCCCAACCCCTCCCCATCCCCTTGGTGTTTTCTTTCAAGAGACAGGGCACCTCTCCCCCAGAGAGAGAGCGAGCGAGAGAGAGAGAGAGAGTGCGTGAGAGAGTGAGAAAGCGAGCAAGAGAGAGAGCAAGAGAGAGCGAGAGACAGGCAGACAAGGTCTTGCTCTGCCACCGGCTGCAGTGTAGTGCTGTGACTATAGCTCCCTGTAACCTCAAACTCCTTGGCTCAAGAGATCCTCCTGCCTCATCCTCCCAAGTAGCTAGGACTACAGGTGTATGCCACCATGCCTGGCTAATTTTATTTTTTTTATTTTTTGTAGAGATGGAGTCTCCCTATATTGCCCAGGCTGGTCTCAAATTCCTGGCCTCAAGCAATCCTCCCATCTTGGTCTTCCAAAGTACTGAGATTACAGGTGTGAGCCATGGTGCCCAGCCAGAATTTTCTAAGAGCCTTTTAGGATGCAGCTATACCACGGTTACATTTATTTTAACTTGTAGAAGTTTTGCTTTTTTTTTTTTTTTTTAAAAAGCAATCACTCTTGGAGATACTAGATACTACAACTATTACCTAAAAACTTACCATGATAACTAGTTGAGAACAAAGCTTTGTAAGGATAAGCACTGAGTTGAGTTGGGGTGTGGACGGGGGGGGGATGGTGGCAACAGAATATTAAGAAGAAAAAGAAGCCTACGGAAACCTGGGTATGATATCAAAACAACAAAGATTATACTACCTAATAAATGTAAGTACAGTAAGTATGGCATCTTTATACACCACAAGCCAAATTCACATCCACTACTTCATTGATTAAAACTGTACAGTTTATCATGTTGCTAACGCAATGTAGAACCCAAAGTTCCAAGAGGCGAGGTGATTTGGCCAAGTCTTCACGGCGTGAAAGGGCTGAGATCGGAACTCAGCCTGTGCTTCCTGAACCCAGCTCTCTCCAGCCATCTCATTGCCTCACTGAACCTCACCTAACAGTCATGTACGTTGTTAACTTCTTAACTGAAATATTTCCAATCAATGCAAGAACCCTAACACACTCTGAGACCACTGAGTACAAACAAGCTGGCAGCCCAGCATCACCCGTCCCACAGCGCCCACCAGGAGTTCACACGTGAAGCCTAATTCATCCCTTAAAAAAAAAAAAAAAGTGTTAGAAAAATGTGAAACCAATGAATCTGCCAGCATGGTTGTTTCACATAGAAAATCTGGAATCCAGCATCTAAATAAACGGTAGAATACTGTTGCTACCAGCTGTGATTCCATTTAAGACACCATTTGTGGAAAATATTTATTATGGTCTTCCATTTTCTCAGCACAAAATCAAAGAAAATTGAGAAATATGAAATTACATTGTCTTCAAAAATCCTGTCATAGAGTAACTCAGCTCTCACAGCTATCCTCTGAAGATGTTATTGATGTTCTACCAAGTTGATGGAGTAATATAATTTGCTAGCAGGAAAAAATGCTGGCAAACAGAATTGTGTTCATTAGAGCGGTATCTTTACAACGCCTTCTTCCACTTTCATTACTTTTCAAGATCACACATCATGTCACAGGGCCGAACCACAGCCTTGCTATGCCCTGGATATTTCAGTATTTTTTTACAGTTGGAAGCAGATTCTTAACGCTTGTGCAAATTACAGCTATTTTTGCTAAAATGGGCTCATTTATGCTGCTGGGGAAAAGAAGCCTCTCTGTCTCCCTCTCTCTGAAGGTCTATGAGGCAGCTCTTTACATGTAGCTCCCATTACTTCAGGCTCGTAAGTTCCCGCGGGGGCAGTCTCTTCCATAACCAATCATCAGACCTAGCGCTGGACCAGTTCACATCCACACTGTGAAGTAAGCATCGTTTGTCTTTACTCCCTTTCCATCCCTCTTAGTTCTGACAAGTTTTCTCTTTCACTTGGGCTGAAGGACTCACCAACGGCCTTCTTAGTGTGGCCTCACAAATGCTGCCTTCTCCAGAGCAGCTTTCTCCAGAAGTTCCCTCTTTACCCAGTCAAAACTTCCAAGCCTCCTTTAGAAAAGTCTGATCCCATCAGGGTGTTAAAAAAAAAAAAAGGCAACCTTATTAGATGAAATTACAGGTGTTAATGATTAATAATTTCATAGATGAGTTTAGATTTTGAGGGAGAAATTCTTATCAACTCAAAACAATTTTTAATAGGTAAAATTTGAAACAACACAACTACGTGCTGCATTTTCATCCGTGGGAAGGAAAAGGATTTTTGGGCACAAGCGACTCCCAGATTCCTCAAAAGCAAACCACGGAGAGTTGAGCTTCATGTGTGTGGTAGAGGTTCAAGCACGGTATAGGGAGTCGACTTTCGAACTGGGCATTGTACTGGTCACATGCTCAACCTTGCTGCTGAAGTGTCCTTTAAATCACTTAGTCCTGGGAAGCAAATGCAAGATGCATGGATGGGACCTGACCAGATTAGCACAGGGAACAGGGCAAGGAGAATGGTGAGCAGATTAACACAGGGAACAGCGCAAGGAGAATGGAGTCTAGATTAGCACAGGGAACAGGGCAAGGAGAATGGAGTCCAGATTAACACAGGGAACAGGGCAAGGGGAATGGTGACCAGACTAGCACAGGGAACAGGGCAAGGAGAATGGTGACCAGATTAACACAGGGAACAGGGCAAGGAGAATGGAGTCCAGATTAGCACAGGGAACAGGGCAAGAAGAATGGTGACCAGATTAGCACAGGGAACAGGGCGAGGAGAATGGTGTCCAGGGCACCTATGAAGCATTGCTTCTACTTTCTGAGCTGCTGGAATAGACTACAAGCTTTGTGGTCTGCATTCCTCTACTTCTACTAAGCGTTCACATGACTCGGGAGGCCAGATGTTATTCCTGGCTCATGCCTACTAGGTTAAAGGAGTGGGGGATGCTTTACTTCCAATTATTGAAATGAATCACAGACTGTTTAGAGCCAGAAGGAAGCAGAGATCACCTGCTTCAACCCTGTCACCTTAAAGATGATGAAATAGCCTAGAAAAGTTGCCCTAGGCCCACTCAGGCCATGCAGCAAGCTCTAAGCCCCTCAGCTCTATCAAGTTGGGTACACAAAAGGTGCTTAATAAGTGTTGGCTAGCCTAGTGGCTGGATTCCTGAGGTCTGCTTCCTAGTTCCATGCTCCTTTCATTATAACTCCCTCCCATGCCCACCATCCCCACTCCCACATTCTTCGTTCCAGTCTCTGGTGGAAAACAATCACAGACCATGCCAGAGTCCAGAATAAGACCCCAAAGTGAGTTAGGGGACGGTCCACTTACTCAGTTACTTATGACTCTAATTATGTGCCAAGTGGTGCCAGTGTGCCACTGCTAATTATTACTACACAGGCTTCAGAAACTGGGCCAATTCTTTCTTCCTTCCAGGAGGAGGTTTGGACTAGGGGACCGAGAAGGTGGCTCTCAGGAAAGCATTCCGAAAGTTTCTCTATCACGGAGTATCCTTTGAAGGTGAAGTCAAGAACTCCTCTTGGAACACGGCACCAGGAGCTTTTGGAGTCCCGGATGCTTGCGGATGACTCCCCTTAATGAAATGTAGGTATGACAAGGTGTACGTGGCACTAGGTTCAGACCATGATAATGTGCCATTTCGGGGACCTGAATTCCTATTATGATGTAAGTCCTTTCAGAGAGACTTTCATAGGCAGCTCCCTAATGAGGCAAAGGTCTCCGTAGCTCCTCACGTATAAATGGAAAGTTGTTGCACAGAGGAACAGGGCCCTTTCTAACCAAGCTAGCAGGGACAGGAATGGCACTAGAACCCAGTATATTTCTGCACAGACTCAGGATTTTTAATAGTCTGCAATACGGCAAGCTGTAAGCAAGGAAATATTCCAATAAAAAAATAAAATACAGACTAAGAAGAAAGCCACAGTCAATATTTGATTATAGAATTCAATGAATGATTGGGGTAATATAAACAGGGGATGACCCCCAAATTCTTGATGTTGGCCTGAAAGTATTGTTTTTATTTATATTTAAGTACAATTGTGTGGTCTGTATTCTGGAAATTTCCTTGAAACTAAATATTGGTGCCAAATGAAGTCCACAGAGAATTTTATAAGCTCTATATTTTACCTATTTCCACCATTTTCCAATTCTCCTCAACACGAATAGCTGACTTCTTTCACTGCTCCCAAAACATTGTTGGGACAAAGATGGTCTATGGGTTAATGGATTTCCCTGCTCAGGCTTTGTACTTTCTAGCTGGCAATTATAGCTCCTTACATACTATTGATTAAAGAAAAATTCCATCTCTGGTGTTGCATCCACCTTTGGAAAAGTGAAACTAGAATTCATTGACCAGTTTGTTCATTTATTTGTTCATTCATTCATTCATGCATTCACATTACAGATTCCACATTTACTGAGCACCCATTATGGGCCAGACACTACAGGGATAAGCTGGGAAATAAGGGAGACCACGGTTCCTGTCCTCATGGATCTTACATCACTGTGGAAGGGCCAGATACTGGAAAGTATTAACAAGTCTGGTGAGTACTGGGCAGGCTTCAAAAGGGACCTACAGTAGTCAGAGCTGCTCTAGAGAGTCAGGAAAAACTTAGAAGAGACACTTTCATTGGGGGCTGGTAGATGAGTAAAAATTAGGCTGATGAAAAAACAGTAGGTGGAAAACCCCCAGGGGCACAAAACAGCAACACTGAGAATTCAACGAACTGATGGAAAGTCAAGAGTGTCCCAACTATAGAAGGAGAGCTGCAGTGAGGAATGAATGAATGAATGACCCTACTTGCTAGATTAGTGGAATCAACCCCAGTGATGAATGGGGCAACACGGGCAGAGCCCACTCTTATCTACCCACTGGGGCACTAGGTCCAAGTGAGGGGAGAACCCCCAGAGTCAGGGTCGGCAAAGCTTTTCGAGGGCAGCATCTGCACCTTGAGGGCAATTGTACTTTCTATACTTGGCTCCAAACCAGGCACACAGTCAGCACCTAAAAAATGTGGATGCTTTTAGAAAAGACAGAGTCACAAGCACATAATTAGAGAAAGCCTCTTTTGGTCAGAGGGAGAGCCTCATTTCTGAAGCAGGAATTTCTGCCACAGATAAGCCACAATGGGGGATGAGTGTACTCTGTGATTCTTTGGCTAACTGAACCATTTGCATGGACACTGCTAATTTTGGGAAAGATGACTGAACAGCTTTATGGGTCAAATTTGAGACTGAGTTGTAGAGCCAGATTTGAATCCAAGACTGGATGACTCTGTTCCATCTAATCATCAGGCTCATTCATTTCCAGATAAAATGATTTTTTTTCTGCTTACTCTGCTTTCCTGAGCAAACTGTACTTTTCAGTTGCAAAATATTACATTTACCTCAAAGCCCAGGGAAAATAAAGGTAGGTGATACAAATGACCCTTTTTTGTGACTGTGGATGTGAATTTGGTCTCTGTCCTAAGAAATGATGTGCAGGAACTGGGGAGAAAGGAGGAGGCCATGGTGAAGCTCACCACCCAGGCTGCATGTCTTCAATAAGCTACACCATGAAAAAGCTACATCCCTACCAGACAAGCAATTCCTCCCCTGGTATCCAAGGTCTCAGTGATTTCATCAAGCTGGCCACTTTCTTCTTCATCCACATGGGATACCTATACTAAACTACTCTGGGCATCTTATGGGGAATAAAATCAGTTGGGGGAAAGAGAGCCTATTATGTTACCTAGGAAAAGAGATCTGGCAAGTATGAGATGCTTTCCAAATTCCTCTTGGGCACTAAAGTACTACTTGCAACACTTATTAATGCAACGGATCAGTTTATCCTGCTAACACCATGAGGATAAATTGCAAAACAGCATATGGAAATGGCAGGAGTCTCAAACTCAGGGCATGGTGACACTGTGTCTCTGCTAGTAATCAAGGTTTACGTGCTCACTGTCTGTGTTTTTCTTGAACAGAGCTGTGGAGCACGGGTCAGCCAGACAGATTATCATTTTCTGTAAGTAACAAGTTTATCTACCTCTTAGGAAAGGAATGGGGGGAGAGGACGGGAGAAAGAGAGAGGGGGGCAGACAGGGGGCCTGTGCATGCTCATGAGTACATCAGTCGGTATTTGTTCTGTAGAAATTCAATTTATTCAACAAAAATTCTGGTCTTTTTAGCCTTCAGCTAGATTGTGTCTGATACGCAGAGGTCACATGTGTTTGGAAGCCACTGAAAACCTCCTCCTCTTGCCTTCTCTGATTTCTGTCTCTAGAATTATCGCTGCCTTTCTTTTCTCTGGGCCACTCCCTTCCCCATTATCAGCTCTCCTCTCATGCTTTCTGGTAGTTCTCACTGTCATGCCAATGACAGACCATCTGATTAGACTGTTTTAAACATTCTAATTTTAAACTTGTGTGTGTGTGTGTGTGTGTGTGTGTGTGTGTAAGCGGTATACGTATTCCCAAAAGGCTGTTCGATGAAATTTGATTTATGTCCTCTTTCTGGGCTTACTCTCAAATATATATGAAAGAGTGCTGACTTTGTACCTAGAGGGTTTACAACTGAGCCAACTCATTCATTCATTCACTCATTCATTTATTCATTCTCTTCAAGGAATATTTATTGAGAACCCACAATCAGCCAAGCACTCTTCTAGATGCTGGGTACCGCTCTAGATGAGTGTTACCTCAATTAATCCTCACAGTAAGGTAAACATTATTACTCTCATTTTACAGATGACAAAATTGCATCTCACAGAACTTAAATATAATAATTGGCCTAAGCCACATAGCTAGTACACTGCAAAACTGCTCTGTATCTAACTTGGATCTTTTTAAGATGCTCTCAACTGCTAGCAGATAGGGATTCTCTTGGTAATCAGATTTTGTAAATTACCATGCCTAATTCTTTATGCCACAATAGACTCCAAAAACAGACTTATTAATGATGACAGACTATGGGCAAGATTCTGATCACTTTGAGAAAAAGACAGAAAAAAAATTTTTTTATTCCACAACTTCTCAGTTAGCATGGAATTCTGACATTCCATTTGTTTATCCACTTTGGGGGTGTCATGATAATGGGGAACATAGTCCATCAACATATCTGTAAGCTAGGACTTCATTAATATTTGTTACAATGAACAGATAAAGTTGTCTATCGCTAACATATAGCTTCTTTACAAACAGTAGCTCTAATCACAGTTAAGGGTGCAGACATGATCTGCAGGGTTTGGGTGGACGAAGGGAGAGGGCATGAGGGACGACGTCGAAGTTCAAAGACAACGAAGTCTCCTCGGGATTTTATGCTGGCTCAGCTCGGTCATCTCAGTGGCTGCTGCCATCCAGTACCATAATGATGACAAAATATGCTCTCCTAAGTTATAAAACACTGTGCTGAAAGTAAGAATCTCTGATAAAGCCTTGAGTTTCAGAAGACTTGCCTCCTGCCCCTTACTGCATTTCTAGTTAGAAATATCTTCCATATAGGCCAGGCACAGTGGCTCATGCCTGTAATCCCAGCACTTTGGGAGGCCGAGGCGGGTGATCACGAAATCAGGAGATCAAGACCATCCTGGCTAACACGGTGAAACCCCGTCTCTACTAAAAATACAAAAAATGAGCCGGGCATGGTGGCGGGTGCCTGTAGTCCCAGCTACTCGGGAGGCTGAGGCAGGAGAATCGCTTGAACCCAGGAGACGGAGCTTGAAGTGAGCCGAGATCGTGCCACTGCACTCCAGCTTGGGCGAGACTCCGTCCCAAAAAAAAAAACAACAAAAAAAGAAATATCTTCCATTTAAAGTTTCACTTGCATACTTGCATGTTTTCCCGCTGGCAGACAGAGTGTAACAACACTAATTTGACCATGCTTTCCAGAGCATGGCGGGGCAGGAATGAAAACCGTTGTAGCCACTTCCTCCCTACTGCCAAGGCTCCGGCTTGCTTCGTCTCTCAAATCTCCACCTGTCACTCTGTAATGAATGCCACCCAGAGGTCCACATCTCATTTTACCCATCAGTAGCACACACTACTGTTTACCATCACTTTCTTCAAAACAGGCCCCTCTTGGTCTCTCAATCCCTGCCCTCCCCTGCTCTGCCCAGTGCCCCCCCAACTGCCCTCACCTCTATGCTGTACCCGCCACACCTCTCAAACCTTGCCCTCCCATCCATATAGCTATTTTCTGCAGGGACCAACCATATTAGCTTAGGCTAACGTGCAAATCCCTGACCATGGCCCACAGCCCCACATGACCTGGTTCATGCTTTCCTCTCTTTTATAAAGAGTTTTATCTCCACAAATGCTTCATCTGCCCTAAAGTCTATATTGTTTGATAATGACAGTTAACCCAGCTTTCCTCTGATTAATGTGGTCTTGATATATCTCTATTTCATCTCATTATTTTTAACCCCTTGGTGCAGTTTTCTTCTTAAGCAGCATGCAACTGGGCTTAAAAAAAACCAAACAAAAAACCTGTCTCTTAATATTTAAATTTCATCTTAATCATTTACATGTATGGTGATATATGTGGATTTATACTCTCCTTATCATTTTTACCTAGTATTTTAGTTTCATCTTTCAGTCTCAACACAGGGAAAGCAGTTGTGTTCACATTCATTAGTAAATTCTATTTTCTGACATTTCAGCAATTTCTATACTCAACACTGTTCTACGCATTCTACAACTTCTCTCTGGGTTTACTTTTCTTGTAATACACATTCTTTTTAAAAAATTATTTTAACAAGATTCCTTGTACCTCTTAAAATATCTTTATTTCATTTTCACTTTTGAGAGACAGTTTAACTATAGACAGAATTCTTGACAATTCTTTGCTTTCGCACATTGAAGACATTCCACGTGACCTGACGTCACTGGCTGTTGAGATGTTCTCTCAATCAAATTGAAATCAGGTTGTAAGATTCTCTGCCAGCGATGTTCTGAAGATTCACTAGTGTGTGTGTATTTACATTTCTTTGTATTGATACCACTCAGTACTTGGGGGTATGCTTTGAATTTGAGGGTTCATGCCTTTTAAAAACTCTGTCAAATTGAAAATTTGCTGGTCATTCGTTCTACTCTTTCTTAAAGAACTTCTTATTAGAAACTTATTGGATAGTCTCAAAATATCCCTCCTGCCTCAGCTGCTTTTGCATAATTTTAAAAAATGTCTTTTTCCTCTGAGCTGCATTCTGGGTAAATTCCTCACCACTATCTCTTAATTCAATGTATCTTTGTGGGTTTTTTTATTTCAATGACTATAGTTTTCATTTCTGAGATTTCTGATTGGTTCTGTTCCTATTCTCCTGTTCTTGTTTCACATATGTTTGTCCCCCAATCCCAGTGGATATTATCCATTTTTTTCTCTTTAAGGATTTGGAATAAATTGAAAACTTTTATTCTATAATTTTATTTCCATATGGAGTGAATTTCTGATTGTGAATCTCAGTGGTTCTCTTTTTGATGCTCTATTTCTTTATGTGTTTTGGCATTTAGGTGTGCATGTTCATTTCAGTGGCAGGTTCTCTCCCATCTGTCTCTGTCCCTGTCTCCATTTGCATCCTACCCCCACAAGTGCCTACGCCCTCATCTTGAACAGGATCTTAAATGCTAGCTCAAGGATCCTATCCCCAGTGATAGGGACATTGCAAATCCAGTCACTGAACCAGCAGGTGGCTTGGCTCAGGCCCTGGTCAGGATCCTGTGTCTGGGATCTTATACCTCCATAGACTCACAAGCTTCATGTCGACCATCATTCCAGGCATAGGTCAGCAGTTACTTTTATCAGCCTCCCATCATAGTGAGGATGTCCTCTCTCATTTATCAACATCCCCGGTTTTCAGTAGTGAGCCTGACTCCACTTCCCATTTCACAGAGTACATATCTAGTCCCTGTTACATTCCAGGAGCCAAATTCCCAGCCATTTTGCCTCCTTTATCCGAGAGCCAGGTAGCCAGTGGCTTCAGCTCCATCACTTCTTTGCATTTCTCTTCTTTTTCAGATTCACTCGCTTTGAGCCTAGCTATATCTTTTTAATTTCCCATTGTTATATTTTGTCTCTTGTGGCCTAAAGCATGATCTAACCATGCCAGCTCACCAAGGAGTTCCCTGACTTTCTCTACAACCTCACCTCATGCCACGGGCCCATGCGCTCCAGTCACCTCCTTTGCTATCTCTTCAGTTCTCTGGTCAATCAAGATTTCTCCCACCTCAAGACCAGACACATGCATGAAGAGAAAGAGCCAAGCACTGAACGCTCTTGTCCCCTCTCTCCCTAAATACTATTCTCGGCCTTTTAATTTCAGCTTAAATACAGTCTCTCTCCCTAAATACTATTCTCAGCCTTTTAATTTCAGCTTAAATACAGTCTCAGAAGGCACTTTTCTGATCACTCTATCTTAGTAACCCTATCTCCCAATTGTTTATTAATTGGATCCAGTTAGTTGTCTTCAGAGCAAAGTTGCAAACAGTCACAAGATCGCCCAAACCACAGCTTACAGGCCACACTTCTTTTTGGTAAGATGTACCTACACCACTAACATTGACAGTGGTGCTGCCTACAAATATAAAGGTCAAGGATATGTACAGGTATGGCCCAATGTGAAAGACAGCAGACTTCTTGGGTTGGGAAGTCTGAGTTTCTTTTCAGGACTCAGATGATGAAATTACCTGGAACTTAAGGTATTATGTCCAATAATCAAATAGTCTCTTGTTTCAATATTTTATCAAAAATAAAATATAATAAAACCTTATTGGGACGAATTGGGATGATGAAACATCCAAATTAATGGAGATTTGGAATTCTAGATTTTTTTTTTAATAAAATGGAGACTGATTTCTTGTAACCCTGTACAACAGCACAGAGTAATGGTTTACAGGACACTGCCAAATAGAGACCCTGCCAGGACCTACTTTAATGAACAGTAAAGAACTGTCTATGATCAACTATCTTTTTAGCGGGGATAGCATGCTGTAAAGGCAGCATGAATGGGCTAGCATTTCCCCTATAATTTCCTACATATTTATGATTTTCACAGGAAACAATTTTTTTCCATCTACAGACACTGGAAATGTGAGTATCAGCTCTCTCTCTACAGTACCATAAATTCAAAATCAGTGAGGCCAGATCAATGAAATTTGATACGCACAAAACTCTTGCATATTCTCATGTGAGTGTGGAGGAGAGCAGAGTGTCATCAAGACTCCACTCCACAGCCATAGTCTCCGCATCTGCAGTTAGCTCTTTTAGGACAGCTAGATCACTGCTCCATTCTATTAGCTCCAAACATACTGCAACCACCTGTTGAAGCTGGGAAGGCTCAGCATTTTTTTCTCTTTCTCCCACTGGCTCTGCAGAAAGCATCACAATTCCAATTAGTCTGTCAAAAACGAAAGGCCATGACTTAAGGTGCAAAACACCTATGAAATAATGAATTTGGAAGGACAGGAGGAGACATATCTGTACCGGTTAGTGTACTCAAGAATCAGGCTATAGAGGAAATTGCTTCTTTGGTAGTGTAAATACAAAGTTTTCAAGAATAGTTACTACAAGGCACTTTCTATTCAAGTACCAAATTGTGAGATACAGAATATGAGGGGATTTGGTGAATGTTTTCCTTTGAACAGGGCTTTACTTCAGGTCCATACCCAAAGGAATATCAATCATGCTGCTATAAAGACACATGCACACGTATGTTTATTGCAGCAGTACTCACAATAGCAAAGACTTGGAACCAACCCAAATGTCCAACAATGATAGACTGGATTAAGAAAATGTGGCATATATACACCATGGAATACTATGCAGCCACAAAAAAGGATATTTCATGTCCTTTGTAGGGACATGGATGAAGCTGGAAACCATCATTCTCAACAAACTATCACAAGGACAAAAAACCAAACACCACATGTTCTCACTGATAGGTGGGAACTGAACAATGAGAACGCTTGGACACAGGAAGGGGAACATCACACACTGGGGCCTGTGGTGGGGTGGGGGGAGGGGGTAGGATAGCATTAGGAGATATACCTAATGTAAATGACAAGTTAATGGGTGCAGCACACCAACATGGCACATGTATACATATGTAACAAACCTGCACGTTGTGCACATGTACCCTAGAACTTAAAGTATAATTATATATAGATAGATAGATAGATATAAAGAAAAGAAAAGAAAAGAAAAAGAAACGGCCAACTCTAAGGAGATTTCAGGTCCACTGCAGACGCCCCCTACTGGCCGGTTTTCAAAGCTATGCCAAGACATGTCCTCTCAATTGCTTCCGGGTTCCAAAAAAAAAAAAAAAAAAAAGGTGGATCAAGACACCAGCGAGGCTCATTGCTTGTGGTCTGCTTCTTATGTGTTCTAGGGAATTTTATTTTCAAAAGCTACAAAGCTTTTCACAATATGGGTTTGAGGATGCTCAGTACGTGAGAATTTTGGGTTGAGGTACAGAAACCAGATAAAGCCTTGTTCATTTGCTCATTCGGCATCAACGTCCAGTGTGTCCCAATGTAAATGAATCACTGTCTAGAAAGTAGAAACATTCTTATTTTTTTTTTTAAAATATGCAACTCTTGGCTATTACTGGCTATTTCATATTCCAGGAAAGCACAGAGGATTCTGCACTGAGCTGCTGCAGGCGAGCTCACTCCTACCCAGCTCCTTAGCCTGGCCTGCGCCATCACCCAGTAGTGCCTGTGTCGAGCTGGTCTGCAGTCCCTGAGCCCCTTCCCTACCCTCAAAAGAGGAAGCAATTTCCAGTGGGAGCCAGAGCGGCCCCGGCCCATGGGGAAGGGCAGACTGAGAAGCCTTCTGAGGGAAGGATCTTGACCTGTCAACACACACACGCGCACACACACACACACATACACACACATACACACCCCCACACACATACACACACATAAAAATATGCACACACATACACACACATACACAACACACCACACACACACACACACACACCTTGAGCCTTCCCCATGCTTAAGAGCCACCCAGCTTCTTAATCTGCCCACCCCAGAACCAGGAAGAAAGAGGGAAATTTCAAGAGCCTTGGGCTCCATTCTTTGTGATGCCCAGATGTGTTTTCTCAGGCTGGGCTTGTACTGGACGAGGCTGAACAGGAGCGGGGCAGCTACCCCTCCGCTACCACTGCTGGCTTTTCCTGTGCCTCCTGTTGCTCCCTTATTAGATGACCACTCAAAGCTTAATTCCTCTCTTATGTTGTTTGAATCTCTTCAGATCACCCTTCTGGCCTTCACTACCTATTTTCTTCTTCCTCCCACTTTCTCTCATTCTTTTCCCCCTAGAACACCATCAACCCCTCAGCCCAGCCTTGCTCAGGCCCCTCAGACCATGCCTTAGTGTTCCCGGCAGGCCCTGCTTCCAACTGGACTCACTGCAGCCTGATGATGTCCTTGTTACTTTTTCACACAGCAAATATCCATCCAACAGGCACTCTTCTCTTTTCACTCCTGTCTGCACCCTCGATACTCTTCACAGAACAAGCTCTAGCCCTCTCCATAGCAGAGAACCTGCCTACTCCTCTGAGAGATGATAAATGCTCCCAGAGAGGAATCAGAGCTATAGGTGACAGCTCCTTATTCCTATTAGGTACAGAGAGGTTGAAGGGAGAGGGCTGGGCATCCAGCCTTCCCTGGTCCTCCTACACAGCTGTGCAAGGAGCACAGCAACAAGAGCAACATCACAGAGAGAGAGGGGCCGAGGGGAGGGGTTGCAGCAGCTCAGCAGGAAGGTCTGCCATGTCCCACCATGTCTGATGCACTCAGTTCTCTCAATTCTGATTCCTACACTCAGCCCTGCTCTCAACTGTGTAGGACCCCAAAAACTGGGTTCTCTAAAGGGTCTGAAAACAGCCAATCCACCACAATCACCAGCAAGTGCTGTTATAGTCCCTCTCTTCTCCTTTCCAATTAAATGAACACTAAATGGACTCGAATGCGTGAAGTCTGAGATATCATGACAAGAAGTAAATTTAGTTACTCTGAAGCAAGCTAGGCAATGTGTGAGTTTATGCAAACAAACATTTTTATGTTTTATTATAAAGTGTAACGAATGTTAGTCATGTGAGTAAACTGGGTACAGCACATTGTTCTCTTTGTATTTTGGCTGCTGACGCTGGTAGAGGAGGCATCTGTCTGCCCTGGATTAACTTCTCTGTGGTATCTGCTAATGAATCAGTGAGGCAGAGAAGCTTCCTGCAGGATCTCCCGACCTCGGCACACCTGTCCACCTGTCCATCTGCCCACCTCATGCTGCAGCGCTGGAATTCACACCAATGAACCAGTAAGGCAGAGAAGCTTCCTGCAGGATCTCCCGACCTAGGCACACCTGTCCACCTGTCCATCTGCCCACCTCATGCTGCAGCACTGGAATTCACACCAATGTGCAAACAGTTGGCATCACTTTGAAGCCACTCCAAGGTGGCATCTGCACTTAATAACAAACACCCTGCAAAAACCGCTGTGCAGCCGTGGGCCTAAGGTATGTGCCCACTTCATCAGCCTCATTCTGGGCCACTTGTCCTGTCCCGCTTCCTTCATCTCCCCATGCCTGTCACCACCCTAGCTGTTGTGCAGGTTCTTGAGTGTGGTATTTTCCCTCCTGCTACCGGGTCAGGGAGAGCTCTTCTCTGAGGCTGGCCAGCCCCTCCGGTAGTTCACTTTACTCTCACAACTGGGCTCCCTTCCCATCACCTCCTGTTTCTACCTAAAAGCAGGTCCTTCCATCGGAAGCTCTTCTAACAGTGTATCTTTCCTTCCTAGCTCTTCATGCAGTTCATAACTATACACTATATTTTGGTAATGATGTCATTGTCTCTCATGCTAGAGTGTAAACTGTCTAGTGATAGGGTTATATATGCTGGGTTTTTTTTTTAAATAATGCTATATCTAATAGTGCTTGGCACATAGGAGGTACTCAATACATATTTAAATATTTGTGACATTAATGAACAAATGGTATTAAGGATACAGACCAAGAGAGCTCAAGCAGAAAACAGAACACAGCCCTGTCATGCAGATGTCCCTACGTAAATAAGCCATTAACTTCTCTAGATCAAGCTGGTTGGGAAAAATGACATCTGTGGATAACAAATGATGAAAACTTTGTTCTTAAAGACTGTTTTGTACAAATGCATAAGAAAAGACTAAGTTTTTTTTCCTAAAGCAAGTAGTGGACATCCCAACACCATCCATGGGAGAATGAGAGACATCTGTCACAGGGCCCCAGGAACTTGGGGAAGGATTCGGGCTGGCTGACAATGACTCTTTTCTTGGCCAGTGTGGCTAAAGAGTAATACCACCTTCCTGATGACAAAGAAACAGAAACTAATAGCAGGGCATACTCATGGTTAGTTGGACATAATTGTGTAGAATGAATTTTATACAGTTTTCATTACAGAATGTGGGGTGTAGTAATTCTCTGCAAATTCTTTGTTCATTACATAAAATCCTGGGTTGAAACAGCCCTCTAGATACTATTATGCAGGGGGGCCAGAACTGACTACGTCTTATTTGACTTTTAAAGTCAAGTTTCTGGTGGACAAGCCAAATAAACAGCCCCACTTAAGAGAATTCAATCCTAAAGAAGTTTATTTTTGTCTGGGTGTGCTACGTATTATACTAGAGCCAATTACAAATGTTTAAAATAGCTAAACTTTTAAAAATGTGTTTGATGCTTTTATATGCAAAAGTGTTTTCAAAAACAATAATAGTGTCAATAAACAGAGTATCGGATTTGACAAGGTGGATTGTTAAGTGGTTGCAAACTGTTCCCACAAGACGCTGATGAGTGCATCCCTCTGGCCTGGAGGGCATGGAATCAGGCCATCATTTCTAGCCACGGTAACTAAACTTACTTCTTGTCATAAATATCTCAGACTTCAGGCATTCAAGTCTAAGTCCATGATTTAGATGAAGATATTTAAGACATGTTTATCAAACCTGCAGCTGCTACGAAGCTCAGAGGAAGGGATAAGAGCTCTTATAATCTTGGCCATGGTAGTTAATCCAGCAGACTCTCCATTTCTTCATCTATAAAGTGTGACAATGATTTCGATTTTGTAGGGTTATTGTAAAGAATTAATGAGCCAAGGTATATAAAGTGAACCAGTAAAGTTAGTTATCTTCTTTTACACAAAGAATAGCAGAATCAGGATTTGTTAAAAAAAAAAAAAAAATCACAAAAACTCAAGTTGGAAAAATGGGCTAAAGCTAATAATTGTATCAATAAAAAAGGGAAACCCAGCATGTAGCTTTAAAAAAACAAAACAAAACAAAACTCTGTGGAAGGATCTACAAAAACAACGACACATGAATAAAACAAGTAAGTTGTTTAAAAAAACACCAAAACACCAAAAAAAAAAACCTTTGAGTAATGTCACCAAATCGTGTTCTTCCAAAATATAATAACGCCATTTGTAGACTCTTAAGACTTGTTATATATAATCAATCAGTCCTACTGATTAAAGGAAGGTTGCATGTTTTACAACCTTAGGGCAGAGATTCCTGGTGGACTGACGTTAGGAATGCGTAAACAACATTGTCACCAATGTATTCCACTGAGTTCTATTTTATAATTACTTATTTAAAATAATTTGAGTTGCTCTCATAGTAAACCTGCATTTAAGCAACAAAATTACTGAATACCCACAGAATGGGGAGATTTGACTTGGTAGTGTTCCTGGCATGGAGTTCTAGAAGTTCTCAGTGGCCACAAGCTCAGCAGGAGACAACTGCTGTGAAGCCATTGAAGTCTTCACCTCAACTACACTAGTCCTAGGGCCAGAGAGCCAAACGCTGACCTCCCCCTCTCCCCAAGTCATAAGACAACTCTCTTTTTCCTTTACTACAAATTATGAAAATAGCTACTTGATATCAAGGTCACAACTAATTTCATTTTATTCAACTTAATCTCTTGAAAAATGATTGGTTTTTTAAAAAGATACATTTTGCATTGCATACCTCCCCAAAGCAGGAGTATTGCAGTACTAGAGATGGAATCAACCATGCTTCAGCTACCCCTGGTTAGTGGCTTCAGGCTATAGCCTAGGGCCTGGCTTTGGGCTCCAGAGCTTTCTGGATAATAAGGTGGCTCCAGTTTCCAATGTTCCCTCATGGTGCCTGTTGGTGGCCTAAAATTCTGTGATTTCTTTTAAAACAACAAAAGTCAAGCTATGAAGAGAGTGAGGAATGAATCTGCCAGGCCAGCATTGCTCTTCAAGATAATGGAATAATCGGAAGACAGAACCAGACTGGAAACCTTGGGCCTCGTCTTAAGCTCTTATCTTGGGCAAATCTCTTAAGTCATTGAGACTTGTTGAGGGGCTGCCATCAGATCACCTTTAAAGTCTTCTCTAGTTCTGAAATTCTATCAGCTGCCAACTGCCTTGGCACACAGGCAACATTGGCCTTTATGAATCTGTGGACACCACTTGCCTCTCAAAACTGCCAGAAATGAGTTAAAAAGCATGAATGTTCAAGACTCACAGGGCTGGCAGAGAAGCTCTACAGCTTCTAAAAATACTTCTTCTCTTTCTTCATTATCTGATTCACAGGACCTAATTTAATGGTGAAATTCCGGAATGGCGTGCCGAAACCTCTGACTGTGACATGAAAGATGGTCATCTTGCACCTGGGATTCAGTTATGAATGGCTTGCCGTATGTGCAAGCACTCTGTCATTTGCCTCCAGCTGTTTATTCGTCACACTGGGGCACAGGAGAGGTGCTAGGAGCAAACCAACAGCAAAATAAAAACATTAATTTATGCAAAGCTTTCTAGACACAACTGCTGTTGCTGAGAAACAATTACCACTACAAACCTGGTGTTTTAGGTTGAACCATATGAACTGGCCAATTTCACGTATGAACTGGCCAATTTCACAGGTCAACAATGGTGACTGTCAACAGTTTCATATGGTTAAATACACACAAAGCCCCCCAGTGGCTGGGGAAAGTGGTATTCTACAGGTTTTTCTCTGAGTGCAATGATGGTGGGAAGAAGATGGACGACAACTCAAATGCAAACCCCAGCCACGTGGAGGCTAAAAAGTTATTATGTAACAAAACGACATTATAGAAATGCCTTCTGGAACTACTAGAATTAGGTGGGAATTCTTAAGGAAAGGAAAATCATTATTTCTAGAGTTAACAAAAGCTGGAAGGAAAATGACAAACACACAAACCTATCAGCTTAAGAAAATTTCTAAAATTTGATGTGCCTGATTTTGAAGCCAACAGAAGAGGGAACAGAGAGATGCAGAGAAACAATGTCCTATTGGATCCTTTGAGCCCTGGATCCAACCAGGCTTGAGGCCAGATATCCCTGGACTTTCCAGTTACGTAAGTCAGTATTTTTTTTTTTTTTTTTTGAGACAGAGTCTCTCTCTGTCGCCCAGGCTGGAGTGGAGTGGCACAATCTCGGCTCACTGCAACCTCCGCCTCCCGGGTTCAAGGATTCTCCTGCCTCAGACTTCCAAGCAGCTGGGACCACAGGCGCCCACCACCACACTCGGGTAATTTTTGTATTTTTAGTAGAGACAGGGTTTCAACATATTGGCCAGGCTGGTCTTGAACTCCTGTCCTTGTGATCTGCCCATCTCGGCCTCCCAAAGTGTTGGGATTACAGGCGTGAGGCACCGCGCCCAGCTGAGTCAGTATCTTTCTTATTAAAGCACATACTCATGCATACACACACAATAGCACTCACTGCCGTGGTCTGGATGTTCTCCCAAATTAATGTGTTAAAACTTAATTCCCGGCCGGGCGCAGTGGCACTTTGGGAGGCCAAGGCAGGCGGATCACGAAGTCAGGAGATCCAGACCATCCTGGCTAATGTGGTGAAACCCCATCTCTACTAAAAATACGGGCGCCTGTAGTCCCAGCTACTCGGGAGGCTGAGGCAGGAGAATGGCATGGACCTGGGAGGCGGAGCTTGCATTGAGCTGAGATTGCACCACTGCACTCCAGCCTGGGTGACAAAGCGAGACTCCGTCTCAAAACAAAAACAAAAACAAAAAAACTTAATTCCCACTGTAGTGGTAGTAAGAGTGGGGCCTTTGGGAACTGATTAAGCCATGAGGGCTCTGCTCTTATAAATGAATTAGTACCTTATAAAAGAGCTAGAGGGAACTAACTTAGGCCCCTTTTTTGCCCTTTTGCATTCTGCCACGTGAGGACACAGAGTTCATCCCCTCTGGAGGCCACAGCAACAAGGAACCATCTTGAAGTTGGAGCGAGCAGCCCTCACCAGGCGCTGAACCTGCCAGTGCCTGGATCTTGGTGTCTCAGCCTCTCCAACTGTGCTGAGTAACTTTCTGTTGTTTATAAATTACCCAGTCTGTGGTATTTTGTTGTGGCAGCACAAAGATACCCACCACATACACAAAAGCTTATGATGCTGGACCAACCCATCTCAAAATGTTGAACTGAATCACAACAAGCAAGACCCATTTCATATCAAAACTTCAAAAAAGCTTTGGCTTCTAGTCTGATTCACAAGTACATGCGTTCAAGGCCCAAGCAGTTAAAACCCTGCACAGATAAATTGTAAGAGCCTGGGTAAAAGAAAATAGAATTTCCTGGTAAGTGAGAATGAAAAAAAAAAAAAAAGTTTACCACATGTGTAGATTTAACCAGTACGTTACTAATGCAGAGAAGGGAAGAATCAGGCTATTTCATAATCAAATGTTGATAATATAAGAGAGGGGCAAGTTTATTATGTCCTCATCAGAAGCAAGAAGCTGGATGTCAGGTATACTGTGAAAAATTGCACAAGCCAAGACCTAAGACTGGATTAAAATTATCAAATTGTTATTAGATGAAAGTTACTAGAATATTGTCAGATTATCCTAACCATAAGAGTAGCAGAACAGTACTCAATGTTTCTAATCAGTTTTGTCTATTTTCTGAGCTGGTTAAACATTTGCTGATGTGCAATTTGTAAAGTCACAGCCATCTGTTCATTTGTGTCTTAAGTCTTCCTGCATAAATTCTGCTCTTTTACCTGTTTTGGGGAAATAAAAGTTTATTTTAATTTACTGCCAAAATTTGTGGCACAGGAAAGGGATAGGTTGAAACCAAAAACTATTTTGCTTTTTTACCATCTATTAGTCATCCTTTGAAAAATCAATATTCAGTGCTCACCCCGTCTGTGGCTCCAGGCAATCAAAAGAAAATTGTGTACTGTCCCCATTCAGACTGATGATGCATTGTGCCATTATCCTGTGAGCTAATATGAGATTCAGTATCTGCTGTCTTACCTGACAAATAAGCCTTCAGAATCCAGGCTTGGGCACATTATTTGAAGAATCTGCAGCTTTAATATAATTTATATTCCCAAGTTCCTTCTACTGCTTCAGTATATGCAGCATATGACTTGAGATAGAAGGATAAAGAAACCAGAATGATTCTCTTCTTTCCTACCCCATCATCTGATCAATTCTGGACATTCCTTTCAACCCTGTGGCCATCTATTACAAGTTGAGTGCCTACTATGTGTCAGAGAATATGTTAGCTGCTGGGAAGACAGTTATGAAGAAGACGGGGTCTTTCCAGTTGTTCAACTTTTTTTGCTACTCATAAAGAGGATAAAAGAAAGAGAAAGAAGAGAAAGAATTCCAGTCTGTTAGGAAATATTATAAAATTACTCCAAAGTGGGGATGCAGAATTAAAATATACCAGAAGTAAAAAAGAGAAATGCTGATGTTCTATTTCATGATCAATAATAAAAACAGTAACAGCTTATATTTGTTGAATGCTTATTTTTTGCCATCCATATTGCTAGGATTTGTCTTACTTAATCCTTATCACAACGCTGTGAGGTAGGTACTGTAAATAAATCCATTTTAGAAATGGGAAAACTGAGGCTCAGGGAAGTTAAATTCCATGTCTACAATAAAATATCTCAAAGCAATGGAGTTGCCGCAGAAACCTACCTGCCTCCGATACCTGAACCCTTCCTTGCTATGCTATATTGCAGGAACTTGGCCCTAAACTGACACCTTGCCAACTTGGGATACGTGTTATTTCTAAAGATGAACTTTCAAAGTGGGTTAAAAGAGGGAGAAGGCCGGGCGCGGTGGCTCACGCCTGTAATCCCAGCACTTTGGGAGGCCGAGGCGGGTGGATCATGAGGTCAGGAGATGGAGACCATCCTGGCTAACAAGGTGAAACCCCGTCTCTACTAAAAATACAAAAAATTAGCCGGGCGCGGTGGCGGGCGCCTGTAGTCCCAGCTACTCGGGAGGCTGAGGCAGGAGAATGGCGTGAACCCGGGAGGCGGAGCTTGCAGTGAGCCGAGATCGCGCCACTGCAGTCCGCAATCCGGCCTGGGCGACAGAGCGAGACTCCGTCTCAAAAAAAAAAAAAAAAAAAAAAAAAAAAAGAGGGAGAAAAATGGTAAGACATATCTTCCTAACAGTTAGAAATGAACAGAGAAATGAGTCAGGATTGAGGACAGGGCTGAAGGTGTCTTCTGGGACCAGTCAAGAGTGGGGTGTGGTCAGGCTGCTGCTGCTCACTCCTCCTCCCACGCAGCACCCACAGGCTGCATGGTGCAACTGGGAGGCTTGCTGGAAAATGGCAAGTCCTGCTGCAGGCGGGCTACAGTGGGCAGCCCTCACCTCCACTCCTGGCCAAACTGACCAGGGCCACTCTCCTTACACAGAGACCATGCTGCTGACCAGGTCTCTCTGGGGCCATCAGCCTCAGGTCAGCAAAAGGTCTTACAAAAGTCAAGAAATTGCTTATGATTACAGCTCTGCAATGCAAACGCGTTTTTACCAACAAAGAAAAAAAAAAGGTTGGAGAGGAAGAAGAAGAGAGAAAAAGAAACATTTGGCCAAGGCCAGAAAGGGTCCACCGAAGTCAGCCTCCGAACTTCCGGTCCAATGTTGACACCTTGTTCACTGGTGACAACTCAGGACTGTACCCCAAATTACACAATGCTACTTGAGGGAAGCAGGCCTGGCAGCAGAGAGAGAATTACCGGCACACATTAGTGAGAGCAATCGCAGCCAACTCAAAACCGCACTCGAAAACGGCCTTGCATTCATGGACTGGTAGTTACTTCCTGGTTTCTAAGAAACCAAATAAAATTAAAACTCACCATTAATAACAAAACAACACTTTACAGTCCCCCCTTCCCTTTCAGAGACGCATCAAGTGACGGCACCTGATCAAAGCTGAATTATTAAAAGTCTATAGATTAATCCTGTAACTCTCAAGAGCCCAGAGTTTGTAATTTCCCAGGGAAAAAAAAAAAAAACAAAAAACAAAAAAACAGAAGCAATCTACACCGTGAAAAATTTAATTGCACTTTAATTACCAGTTAAGCTGAATAGCATGAGATATGGGTGCCTTTAATTTTTAATAGTCGTTATGATTCCAAGAGAATTTTAAAGGGAAATAATTTAATCTCTTGAGAGTATTCTCCTCTTCTGCCACTGCCAAAATCAAAATGAGGACAGAAAAAAATGTAAAGGGCGATTCAAATTCTTCCAGATCATAACCCAGGACGGCCCCCAGCAATAATAAACTGGCTGTTCCCAGGCAGCTGCACTGCACATTTTCATGATATGCTAATATAGAAATGGGTTTCCTGCAGTTGAGTTCTGGTACATTAAGCAGATAAACGCCCTTGGCTGGGGTGTTTCTTTTTTAAAATCAGATCTAAAGATGGCATACTTGTTTCTTTGTCTCTCAGAGCCTGGCACCAATATGGGCATGCATACCCCCACCTACGTAACACACATACACAAACCTGGGCACCCATATACACATACTCTTCCACATGCTGCCATGATGCCCCAAAACATCCTTTTGAAAGGAAAAAGGGAAGAGGGTAACACAATCACACAAGGCTCCAACAAAAATGGAAATCAGCAGGTCTGAGAATTCAAAAGGAAATAAGCGTAGCCTCCACTTTCACTTTATCTGAGAACCACCTGACTCAGGAAGGAGCTGGCCTCTTGAGAGCTGGTGCAGGAGGGAGCCGCCTGGACCGGGTGAGGCTGGCCACTTTCCCCTTTCTCAAGCACACACTGGCCTTCTCAACTTGCTGAGGCTCTTGAGGTTTGCCTGTTGTGCAGGTGTAGTTGTCTCCATTGAGGCTGCAGTGTGCCTCAGCCTCTTCTTGGGGATGCTGTCCCATCCCAGGACAGTGCTTTTTTTTGGAAATAAATTAGGTTGTGATTTCTTTTTTTTTTAGTTTTTATTTGTGAGACAGAGTCTCATTTTGTTGCCCAGGCTGGAGTGCAATGGCACGATCTCAGCTCATTGGAACCACTACCTCCTGGGTTCAAGCGATTCTCGTGCCTCAGCCTCCCGAACAGCTGAGATTACAGGCATGCACCACCACACCTGGCTAATGTTTGTATTTTTAGAAGAGATGGGGTTTCACCATGTTGGCCAGGCTGGTCTTGGACTCCTGACCTCCGCCCGCCTCGGCCTCCCAAAGTGCTGGGATTACAGGCGTGAGCCACTGCTCCTGGCCGGTTGTGATTTTAAGAAGTCAGACTGGGCTCAAAAGGCTTTTCATGAGGTCTCCAAATAACTCAGGGCTCTGTACTGCCTCTGGTTCCTGCTGCTCACTACTATCAAACACATAACAAGTATGGGCCTTGTTATTAGTGATCATTTGGTAAATCAATTACAATTTCATCTGTCAGGCAAATAAGAGAAGAAAAAACCTGCAGAACCATCTGCCACTTTTCTCTTCTCCAACTGTGCACCCATTTCCTTTCTCCAACCCTCTGTATGAAACCTGCACTGACAGACAGTGCTATGCCAGGCTTTCGGGGATTTGTCTGTGTCTCCCTCAGGGACCAATAGCACCCACCTCAGTTGGGACCCACAGAGAAAGCAGGAGAGGCGCTTTCTTCCCAAGCCCAGTGAGTTCAAAAGGAGGAAGGAGTAGAGTTCTAACTTTGTGAACCAAAGAAGTGCCCCTCCCTGAGAACCCTGCTGTTGTTCCTTTGTGTGGCAGCTGGTCATACAGACAAAAACACTCAGGTGAGAGAGAACAAGGAGTGCAACGTCAGGAAGGCATTGTTTAGATTCCCAAGTAAAGGCTGAAAGCTTGGCGTGGTTAGGAGGCAAGACGCAGAAAACATCCTAGTGCGGGCACAATTGTGCCTGACCAGGACAAAAAGGGGACAATGAAAAGAGGATCCTGGCCAGGCCAGCACAGAGGAGCTTCCCAGGGCCACACTGCTCAGGGACAATTCCCTAGTGAGACAGAACTGCAGACTGGTGGCAGAAGTTTCTCTGTATTATCCTTGACAACTTATTATTGTAAAGATTTGGAATTAGCTGTACTGAGTCTTCATCATAGATGACAGGTTCTCTCTCATTGTCATTTTCACAAAGTCCCAAGATAAAGAGACCCTCCAGGTAGCTGAAATGCAGGTACCCAATTTACCACTGGAGCCAAGATTTTGGTTTCAGAGGGGACAAACGAGGTAAGTAGTACTCATTGGGTACCATCCATTTCACCACCAGAAACCAATTTCACCAAGTTTAACAGTTCTTCCTGCTGCCTGGGCAGGAGGCGGCCTTGTCTCTTTCCGCAGTACTCTGGGAGTCTACCACAAGGCAGCAGAGCCTTCGAGTTAGAGCAGCTCTTTGGAACAAACATCACCTCTCTTGCTAGGTGAGGCCTCTCACCCAACAGGCTGGGAGAGGCTGTCACAGAACTCAGAACTAAGAGCCTACAACTCATTCTGCAGCTCAAGTATGAGACAGGCTCACTGTACAGCAATTTGTACTGGTGATCCCTCCCCTGGGGATGACCCCCATGACTCTGGCGCCCTGAGGCAGGGCACCTGTTTCAGAATCCCCCGCTAATCCTCCTTACTCCCTTCCCAGAACTCTAAGCATCCTTGTACAGATGGCATTGGTACTGGCAAGACTGTGGTCTGTGAGTAGTCAGGAAGCCAGTCGACAGCACCTACTCTGTTATTCACCCAAAGCCTCTGTCTCCACTGCAGCCACGGAGTTGAAGGCTGGTGGGGGCAGGGTTTGGGGAGTGATTCAAGAACTGATCATCCCTCTGACCTGCGCTATGGACCTGAGCAGCAGTTTCAGGTGTGAGGAGCGTGGAAAAGGGAAAGCCTCTTAGAGCTTATGTGTCTAGCCTGGGTAAGCCCCAGGACCAGCATCAGAATTCTGTAATTTGAATGAGAACTGAGCTGAGAACTGCAGAGAAAGACGCACTTTTCAAAGAATTCCCCAACAGCAAATTGAAATATGGGCACGATGCTGAAAAGAGATGAGGCTGCCAAAGCCACGTGGCCGAGCAGACGGAGGGAGTGCAGTCTCCACACTGAGGCTGACTGAAAACATAAATAACTAGGCAAGATTTTTCAGTAGCTAGTGAGGTTATCACATACTCTGGACAAAATCCCTAGTGCTCATTACACTTCTGATATGATTTTCTCACCTCTCTCCAGGCTCACTGATGCATCTTCCAATTCAACATGGCTTCTTGCCTCTGAAAGGAGAGCTAGTCCCTCCTGGAATTTGTAAGTGTGAAGGCTGTGTTTCAGCTGTCACGTCTGGTGTATCACTGATGCCTATTCCTGTGGCCTTTCCAGTTTCCCAGGGTGATGCAAATGAACACCGTGCAGCAGGTAAACAGAGCGCTGAAGTGCAAAGTACAGCTCTTATTTATAGATCAAACACCTGCCATCAATTTAAACAGTAGTTATCTCTAACTTGAAAGTTTAGCAAGATACTGAATGCCCCCTTGAAGCAAATAATTTTGAAGCAGTTCAGGTATACAGATGTGTTTCCAGCCTACTTAAGAATGCTATAATTATCATCAAAAAGACAGATTCCATTAACTATCTGTTATGCTTTCTGTATGTGTACTCCCAGACAGATTTGAAATGTTGAAAGTCTTGGGTTTCTTAGCACTATACTTTTAACATTATTTTTTTAAAGGACTGGGCTTAGGATCTTCTGAATTTGGAAAAACATCTGATGAGAGGTTTTTGGAACAGTTAATGATCTAATGTGGCCGTTCTTGTCATTTTGCCTTTACAACCACAGTTCCATTTCCACCCTCTCTCTACCAGACACATAAAAATTTCATATTTGGAAAAAGCTATCTTCCTAAACACAGATCAGTGAGGAGTGAACACATCTCTAATCACAAATGGCCAATAACCACTATTTCTTGAAAGTTAAAAATCAGGTGATGTGCTGTACAGGTGCTCTATGGATACTGTTCCATTAATCTTTTTGATGAATTCTTGAAAGGTTATCTTCATTTTACTGATGATATAAACTGAGGCTCTGAAAGGTTAAGCATGCTGCCTGAAATCACCCACCTAGTAAATGGAAGAATTTACATTTGAACATGGGTCTGTGTCCACTCCGAAGCCCGTTCTTCCTACTGCATACAACACACTAGCACAGAAGATGGTCCTCTTTCTTTGCTTAGATTGTTTCAAAATTGATTTTCCATTTTCAGGGATATGGAATGTCATTCTGGAAGTAGGTGATAATTATGTTCGGTGGCTTGAGATTGGCATGATCTCCGGGATACGAGTCTGCAGGCCACATCAGCCAGTCACGTGTGTGGGCAACTCACTTTACCTCGGTGGACCTTTTTCTCTCCCAGAAAACCATAAGGATGGATTGAAGGACTAAAGTCCAACAGTTAAAACTGTTCCTTTTAATTCTAAAATCCTCTGAGTGTATGAACTGCTTCACCTTTGCATAGAGGACAAGCTTGTGCTCAGGAGGGCCTGAATTATTTCAGTTCCCTGAATGTGCTGGCCCTCCTCATGCAGGAGCTGCCCCAGGGTTTGTAAACCTTCCCCTACTACCAGGCACCACCACTGCTATCTGATGGCCGCACAAAGGAATGAGTGAACACCGTCAGGAAGACATTGGTCCTGTGCTCTACGAGAGGGTGTGCCCAACCACCACTGTCCTCTCAGCATCCTCCATTGTGACCAACGTCACCAGGGCTGCCCGAGGAAACCCTAAGAGAGGGAGGGGTATTTTCCGTGAAAACACACCTGGATGCAGGTCTAGGAAACCAACCCCTGGTCAGAGTAGCCCAAGAGAGAACAGGCCCATGCCCAGTGCTTTGGTAAGAATGACAAATTCTTACTTCTAAACAACAGTTCCAAAAAAAAAAAAAAAGAGAAAGAGCGAGCGAGAGAGACAGAGAAACTCACTCAGTAGCAGGAACTGAGAAGAAAGGGGTCACTCACTCACTCAGAGTGGGCTGGGAGGGAAGGCTTCATCATTTATCAGGATATAGTCATGAATACCTCTTTTTCTTCTTTGGAAAAATACAGACTACTGTGGGTGAGTAAATCTCATCTAGTGGGCAAGCCGGAGTTTGATTTGAGCAAAGAATAGAGGGGTAGTTGGGGTGAGGAGGTGAGGAGGAGAGGAAGGCATGGAGCCATGGTCATGAGACAGCTTCTTTTTTTTTTTTTTTTTTTTTTTTTTTGAGACGGAGTCTCGCTCTGTTGCCCAGGCTGGAGTGCAGTGGCGCGATCTCAGCTCATTGTAACCTCCGCCTCCCAGGTTCAAGTGATTCTCCTGCCTCAGCCTCCCAAGTAGCTGGGACTACAGGCGCCCGCCACCACGCCCGGCTAATTTTTGTATTTTTAGGAGAGACGGCGTTTCACTATGTTGGCCAGCCTGGTCTCGAACTCCTGACTTTGGGATCCACCTGCCTGGGTCTCTCAAAGTGCTGGGATTACAGGCATGAGCCACCGCACCAGGCCTAGACAGCTTCTTTCATTTGAAAATGTTCTCTTAGATAAAATGTATAAGGGTCAACATGCAGCACACAAGCAAACCTCCTTCCCCCAGGTGCAAGCACAGCAGCTGGCCTGAAGATAAGAGTTAAATGAATCCAGCCCCCTGAAAGGAAGGTTGTCTATGCTACAGAATCAAATCAGGAAGAAAGGAAGCTATTCTCTCACCTAAGGGCATTGAGAAAGGTACATGAATAGTAATTATCTAAAAAGAGATAATCAACAAGGAGTCAGAAGGGCAAAACCCTGTCTAACTAATCTACTTCACCTTTACAGCAAGGCTGAAGACTAGGTGGGCAACAGCGCTGCATGTCAAAGGGTTTACTGTGATTTCACAAAGCTCCATAGAAAGCCTCCAAATGAAGACTGGCAGGCTGGGAAAGTCTCTGAAACCATGAAGAAAAGGGACTAGTGGAGGAGCTGCCCTCAAGAGAAAGGCAAGATGTTGAGTTTAGATGGCCTCAGAATATTAAGCACCTAACCTGCTCTGTCATTTAGGTTAATTCATGGAGCCCTATATATATATATATATATATATATATATATATATATATATATACAGATGAATCACTGGCATGAGATCAGCTAAAATATTCATTGTAGTTGCTTTTAGGTGATTGTAGATTTCTTCATTGTTTCACCTTTTCCGTATATTTTTAAATGACAGCAAAATTTTATAATAAAGTTTTTATAATAAATTTATTTTTATAATAAAGAAAAATAAACAGAAGGCAAATTGATATCCTCACATAATGTGGGAGCTACAAAAGGGATCCTAAGTCAAAGTTAGTGCCCTTCCTGTCTAGCCTGGGAGGAAAACGTGACTATTAAATTAATTACTGAATATGATGTGAACTGCAGTTCTGAGGACAAGGACCTGCATTTCTGGTCTACTCCTGTTTTGAAGGTAAACAATTTAATAATTTCAGTGTATAGCTACCTCCAATTATCCAAACCACTGTCTTCATAGGAATATAAGAAAATTAAGGTAGATACCTGAAGCAGCACCAGGAATCAGGACAGATAGAGCTCAGTTTTTTAAAAGAAGATTCTTTCCTGGTCTTCTTCAACTGGGGGCAAAAAAAAAATAAAAACGAAAAAATAAACAATAAAAATAAATAAATAAAATAAAAAGAATGCTACTGTTACACCACATACTTGTTTTAAAGTCTTGCCCTTCTAGTACTGACTACACGCGGCCCCAGGGACCTGTGAAATGGATGCTGCTGCAAGATTTTATTTAAACAACATCTTGATCTTCTGTGCCATGTGACTGGCATTGCGGAGAAGCTGCTCTTTCTAAAGGCTTCAAGGTCACTTAAGCTTGTGCCGGCTCTGCTAAGAGCTCCGATGAGGAATAAACTTTAAGATCTTCTACTAGACAGAATTTTGGAATTCCCAGCAGACCTGTTTCCCTTGGCTTCCAGATCCTCTCAAATGACCTTATCCCTTATCCCACCATGCACACACACACACGCACGCACACACGCACACACATGCACGCACACACACGCAAGCACACACACACGCACGCACACACGCATGCACACACACACACTCTATCTTCACTGAAGGCTCCCAAGACATCTTCCTCACAAAACACACAAAACAAAGACAGCTGTCCATTGGTGCTCAAAATAAATGAAGGGTAAACTAAGCCCACAGACACCATGAGGTGAGGTGATATCAGAAAGCCAGAGCAGGACAATGGTCTTGATCCATCCGCTAAATCTTTAGGTACAACCTCCAAGGAAAATGACTTTCAGTCAAGCCAGGCAACTATTGCTACCAACAATAAAACAGAAGATGCTTTTACACTCATGGCCCCAGCATTGTTTCTCACAACTAAAAGAGGCCAAACATCCCAACCAGAAAAAAACACAAACACACACAGGAAGCAACTGTTAACAAATGGAACGTGATAGTGGCAGAGCCCAGAAGAGCTGTTGGTTAACTCAACACGAAGGAGTCCTTGCCTCTCATTCAGGGGTGCACACAGACATGACCCTACCATGCTTTTCCTTCCATCCCAATCTCCATGGTCATCTAGTCCAAGCTGTACGCTCTAGTTTTTCTCAAAGTGGAGCTTATGGGTAACCTCCATCAGAATAGCTGGGGAGCTAATGACACATGGATCCCAGATCAACCAAGGGGATTTTAGAGACATGGGGCCTAGCCCCCAAGTGACTCTGATGCATATTAAGACTTGAGCATCACAGGTCAAGAAGTACACAGATCCCAGTTATCAACATAGCCAGATGGCTGGTGGTAGAAGCAACCCTGTCCCTGTAGCACCTCTCTGTGTCCTGCTCAAAAGCATTAAAACATCATTCTTAGATAAGAACAGAGACAAAGGATATGTCTTTAACACTTTACAGTCTATAAAGTTTTTCCACAGCCACTGTCTCACTGAATCAACCCCTAAGAGACAGAAATGAAAATCGCTGTTTTTACAAACTGAGAAATTACGGGCCTTTGAAGTGTTTCACAGCCTTCACAGCCTGCTGGTAAGAAGCAGAGATCAGGCCTTGGACCTGGGTCTTGTGATTCCAAAGCCCATGATCCTTCGGATTCATCAAAGCTCCACTCCAAGTGCCTACTGGGACTGCCTTGCAGCACTCACCTTCTGTAGGTGAGTAGGTAAGTTGCGGCATGCCATTCTTTCAAAAGAACAGTGCACCTCTGTGACCGAATATGGGCCACAGTATCTCAAGGATATTTTGGTCAAAGCCCTGGGGTGTGGGGCAGAAGATAATGTATTCAATGAAGCTTCTAGAGAAAAGCATAATAAATAAAGAAGCTCCTACCTGTCGCTAGCCTTCCTAAATATCCCAAGAAATCAAGAATTTTCTCCCAATGGATTACAGCTGAGCATCTACTCAGAAGAGAAAATCAAGTCCATTTCAGTTTAGACGGCAGCAGCAAACTCCCCACAGAGAGTACTCCCGGGGTGGCTAGGGGGTGGACAGTGCCATTACTGTATCAATCAGGCCAAGGAGTGGGGCTTGCACTACTGTTTGCTAGAATGGAGCTTGGCTCTAAAACAGGATTCTCAGACACATTTCAGAATAGGACGACTGGAACAATGCAATACTCATCTAAGCAACTGCAAAAGCCAGCTACAACCCAACTCAAGGTGCCATCTATTATGAGAGGTCCCCTTCATCTATGTAAAAAAAAAAAAAAAAAAAAAAGAGGAGCCAAGATGGCCGAATAGGAACAGCTCCAGTCTACAGCTCCCAGCGTGAGTGACATAGAAGACGGTGATTTCTGCATTTCCATCTGAGGTACCGGGTTCATCTCACTAGGGAGTGCCAGACAGTGGGCACAGGTCAGTGGGTGCGCGCACCGTGCGCGAGCCGAAGCAGGGTAAGGCAATGCCTCACTCGGGAAGCGCCAGGGGTCAGGGAGTTCCCTTTCCTAGTCAAAGAAAGGGGTGACGGACGCACCTGGAAAATCGGGTCACTCCCACCCGAATATTGCGCTTTTCGGACCGGCCTAAAAAACGGCGCACCACGAGATTATATCCCGCATCTGGCTCGGAGGGTCCTACCCGACGGAGTCTCGCTGATTGCCAGCACAGCAGTCTGAGATCAAACTGCAAGGCGGCAGCGAGGCTGGGGGAGGGGCGCCCGCCATTGCCCAGGCTTGCTTAGGTAAACAAAGCAGCCGGGAAGCTCGAACTGGGTGGAGCCCACCACAGCTCAAGGAGGCCTGCCTGCCTCTGTAGGCTCCACCTCTGGGGGCAGGGCACAGACAAACAAAAACACAGCAGTAACCTCTGCAGACTTAAGTGTCCCTGTCTGACAGCTTTGAAGAGAGCAGTGGTTCTCCCAGCACGCAGCTGGAGATCTGAGAACGGGCAGACTGCCTCCTCAAGTGGGTCCCTGACCCCTGACCCCCGAGCAGCCTAACTGGGAGGCACCCCCCAGCAGGGGCACACTGACACCTCACATGGCAGGGTATTCCAACAGCCCTGCAGCTGAGGGTCCTGCCTGTTAGAAGGAAAACTAACAAACAGAAAGCACATCCACACCAAAAACCCATCTGTACATCACCATCATCAAAGACCAAAAGTAGATAAAACCACAAAGATGGGGAAAAAACAGAACAGAAAAACTGGAAACTCTAAAAAGCAGAGCACCTCTCCTCCTCCAAAGGAACGCAGTTCCTCACCAGCAACGGAACAAAGCTGGACGGAGAATGACTTTGATGACCTGAGAGAAGAAGGCTTCAGACGATCAAATTACTCTGAGCTATGGGAGGACATTCAAACCAAAGGCAAAGAAGTTGAAAACTTTGAAAAAAATTTAGAAGAATGTATAACTAGAATAACCAATACAGAGAAGTGCTTAAAGGAGCTGATGGAGCTGAAAACCAAGGCTCGAGAACTATGTGAAGAATGCAGAAGCCTCAGGAGCCGATGTGATCAACTGGAAGAAAGGGTATCAGTGATGGAAGATGAAATGAATGAAATGAAGTGAGAAGGGAAGTTTAGAGAAAAAAGAATAAAAAGAAATGAGCAACGCCTCCAAGAAATATGGGACTATGTGAAAAGACCAAATCTACGTCTGATTGGTGTACCTGAAAGTGATGGGGAGAATGGAAACAAGTTGGAAAGCACTCTGCAGGATATTATCCAGGAGAACTTCCCCAATCTAGCAAGGCAGGCCAACATTCAGATTCAGGAAATACAGAGAACGCCACAAAGATACTCCTCGAGAAGAGCAACTCCAAGACACATAATTGTCAGATTCACCAAAGTTGAAATGAAGGAAAAAATGTTAAGGGCAGCCAGAGAGAAAGATCGGGTTACCCTCAAAGGGAAGCCCATCAGACTAACAGCGGATCTCTCAGCAGAAACCCTACAAGCCAGAAGAGAGTGGGGAGCAATATTCAACATTCTTAAAAAGAATTTTCAACCCAGAATTTCATATCCAGCCAAACTAAGCTTCATAAGTGAAGGAGAAATAAAATACTTTACAGACAAGCAAATGCTGAGAGATTTTGTCACCACCAGGCCTGCCCTAAAAGAGCTCCTGAAGGAAGCGCTAAACATCGAAAGGAACAACCGGTACCAGCCACTGCAAAATCATGCCAAAATGTAAAGACCATTGAGACTAGGAAGAAACTGCATCAACTAACGAGCAAAATAACCAGCTAACATCATAATGACAGGATCAAATTCACACATAACAATATTAACTTTAAACGTAAATGGACTAAATGCTCCAATTAAAAGACACAGACTGGCAAATTGGATAAAGAGTCAAGACCCATCAGTGTGCTGTATTCAGGAAACCCATCTCACGAGCAGAGACACACATAGGCTCAAAATAAAAGGATGGAGGAAGATCTACCAAGCAAATGGAAAACAAAAAAAAGGCAGGGGTTGCAATCCTAGTCTGATAAAACAGACTTTAAACCAACAAAGATCAAAAGAGACAAAGAAGGCCATTACATAATGGTAAAGGGATGAATTCAACAAGAAGAGCTAACTATCCTAAATATATATGCATCCAATACAGGAGCACCCAGATTCATAAAGCAAGTCCTGAGTGACCTGCAAAGAGACTTAGACTCCCACACATTAATAATGGGAGACTTTAACACCCCACTGTCAACATCAGACAGATCAACGAGACAGAAAGTCAACAAGGATACCCAGGAATTGAACTCAGCTCTGCACCAAGCGGACCTAATAGACATCTACAGAACTCTCCACCCCAAATCAACAGAATATACATTTTTTTCAGCACCACACCACACCTATTCCAAAATTGATCACATAGTTGGAAGTAAAGCTCTCCTCAGCAAATGTAAAAGAACAGAAATTATAACAAACTATCTCTCAGACCACAGTGCAATCAAACTAGAACTCAGGATTAAGAATCTCACTCAAAACCACTCAACTACATGGAAACTGAACAACCTGCTCCTGAATGACTACTGGATACATAACGAAATGAAGGCAGAAATAAAGATGTTCTTTGAAACCAACAAGAACAAAGACACAACATACCAGAATCTCTGGGACGCATTCAAAGCAGTGTGTAGAGGGAAATTTATAGCACTAAATGCCCACAAGAGAAAGCAGGAAAGATCTAAAATTGACACCCTAACATCACAATTAAAAGAACTAGAAAAGCAAGAGCAAACACATTCAAAAGCTAGCAGAAGGCAAGAAATAACTAAAATCAGAGCAGAACTGAAGGAAATAGAGACACAAAAAACCCTTCAAAAAATTAATGAATCCAGGAGCTGGTTTTTTGAAAGGATCAACAAAATTGATAGACCGCTAGCAAGACTAATAAAGAAAAAAAGAGAGAAGAATCAAATAGACGCAATAAAAAATGATAAAGGGGATATCACCACCGATCCCACAGAAATACAAACTACCATCAGAGAATACTACAAACACCTCTATGCAAATAAACTAGAAAATCTAGAAGAAATGGATAAATTCCTCGACACATACACTCTCCCAAGACTAAACCAGGAAGAAGTTGAATCTCTGAATAGACCAATAACAGGATCTGAAATTGTGGCAATAATCAATAGCTTACCAACCAAAAAGAGTCCAGGACCAGATGGATTCACAGCCGAATTCTACCAGAGGTACAAGGAGGAACTGGTACCATTCCTTCTGAAACTATTCCAATCAATAGAAAAAGAGGGAATCCTCCCTAACTCATTTTATGAGGCCAGCATCATTCTGATACCAAAGCCTGGCAGAGACACAACCAAAAAAGAGAATTTTAGACCAATATCCTTGATGAACATTGATGCAAAAATCCTCAATAAAATACTGGCAAAACAAATCCAGCAGCACATCAAAAAGCTTATCCACCATGATCAAGTGGGTTTCATCCCTGGGATGCAAGGCTGGTTCAATATACGCAAATCAATAAATGTAATCCAGCATATAAACAGAGCCAAAGACAAAAACCAAATGACTATCTCAATAGATGCAGAAAAGGCCTTTGACAAAATTCAACAACCCTTCATGCTAAAAACTCTCAATAAATTAGGTATTGATGGGATGTATTTCAAAATAATAAGAGCTATCTATGACAAACCCACAGCCAATATCATACTGAATGGGCAAAAACTGGAAGCATTCCCTTTGAAAACTGGCACAAGACAGGGATGCCCTCTCTCACCACTCCTATTCAACATAGTGTTGGAAGTTCTGGCCAGGGCAATTAGGCAGGAGAAGGAAATAAAGGGTATTCAATTAGGAAAAGACAAGTCAAATTGTCCCTGTTTGCAGACGACATGATTGTATATCTAGAAAACCCCATCGTCTGAGCCCAAAATCTCCTTAAGCTGATAAGCAACTTCAGCAAAGTCTCAGGGTACAAAATCAATGTACAAAAATCACAAGCATTCTTATACACCAACAACAGACAAACAGAGAGCCAAATCATGAGTGAACTCCCATTCACAATTGCTTCAAAGAGAATAAAATACCTAGGAATCCAACTTACAAGGGATGTGAAGGATCTCTTCAAGGAGAACTACAAACCACTGCTCAATGAAATAAAAGAGGATACAAACAAATGGAAGAACATTCCATGCTCATGGGTAGGAAGAATCAATATCGTGAAAATGGCCATACTGCCCAAGGTAATTTACAGATTCAATGCCATCCCCATGAAGCTACCAATGCCTTTCTTCACAGAATTGGAAAAAAACTACTTTAAAGTTCATATGGAACCAAAAAAGAGCCTGCATCTCCAAGTCAATCCTAAGCCAAAAGAACAAAGCTGGAGGCATCATGCTACCTGACTTCAAACTATACTACAAGGCTACAGTAACCAAAACAGCATGGTACTGGTACCAAAACAGAGATATAGATCAATGGAACAGAACAGAGTCCTCAGAAATAACGCCACATATCTACAACTATCTGATCTTTGACAAACCTGACAAAAGAAGCAATGGGGAAAGGATTCCCTATTTAATAAATGGTGCTGCGAAAACTGGCTAGCCATATGTAGAAAGCTGAAACTGGATCCCTTTCTTACACCTTATAGAAAAATCAATTCAAGATTGATTAAAGACTTAAATGTTAGACCTAAAACCATAAAAACCCTAGAAGAAAACCTAGGCATTACCATTCAGGACATAGGCATGGGCAAGGACTTCATGTCTAAAACACCAAAAGCAATGGCAACAAAAGCCAAAATTGACAAATGGGATCTAATTAAACTAAAGAGCTTCTGCACAGCAAAAGAAACTACCATCAGAGTGAACAGGCAACCTACAAAATGGGAGAAAATTTTTGCAACCTACTCATCTGACAAAGGGCTAATATCCAGAATCTACAATGAACTCAAACAAATTTACAAGAAAAAAACAAACAACACCATCAAAAAGTGGGCAAAGGACATGAACAGACACTTCTCAAAAGAAGACATTTATGCAGCCAAAAGACACATGAAAACATGCTCATCATCACTGGCCATCAGAGAAATGCAAATCAAAACCACAATGAGATACCATCTCACACCAGTTAGAATGGCAATCATTAAAAAGTCAGGAAACAACAGGTGCTGGAGAGGATGTGGAGAAATAGGAACACTTTTACACTGTTGGTGGGACTGTAAACTAGTTCAACCATTGTGGAAGTCAGTGTGGCAATTCCTCAGGGATCTCGAACTAGAAATACCATTTGACCCAGTCATGCCATTACTGGGTATATACCCAAAGGATTATAAATCATGCTGCTATAAAGACACATGCACACGTATGTTTATTGCGGCATTATTCACAATAGCAAAGACTTGGAACCAACCCAAATGTCCAACAATGATAGATCGGATTAAGAAAATGTGGCACATATACACCATGGAATACTATGCAGCCATACAAAATGATGAGTTCATGTCCTTTGTAGGGACATGGATGAAATTGGAAATCATCATTCTCAGTAAACTATCGCAAGAACAAAAAACCAAACACCGCATATTCTCACTCATAGGTGGGAATTGAACAATGAGATCACATGGACACAGGAAGGGGAACATCACACTCTGGGGACTGTTGTGGGGTAGGGGGAGGGGGGAGGGATAGCACTGGGAGATATACCTAATGCTAGATGACGAGTTAGTGGGTGCAGCACACCAGCATGGCACATGTATACATATGTAACTAACCTGCACAATGTGCACATGTACCCTAAAACTTAAAGTATAATAATAAAAGAAAAAAAAAAAAAGCCACCGCCAGCATGCCTCTAGTTGCTGCCTCAGTCTGAGGAGCTCGGCTGTTTTACTGCTGACACCATCTTATGGTATCCTTTGCACGATGCTAACTTCCTCCGCTGAGGGTGAAGCCTCACTTACCATTCTCTGCAGCAATCCCACCAACCTCTCATCCAGTGACTCTAGTGGGGCCCTTTCACTGGGCCCACTTTGTACTTGGCTCTCCATAGTTCCTCTTAACTCCGTGATCAAAAGACATTTTTACATGTGTTATAAGCCTCTTTTAAAAAAATCTTCCTAGGAAAGACTCTCTTCAAATCTCTACTAGAACAGGGCTGCATCCAAGTGAGTCCTTAATAAATAGAATTTGATCATGGTAAGAAGACATGTCCCCTGCTCGTGTTCTTGTCAGTCCTGAATGGGTGAGGCAAAGTGCTCAGACACTGTGCTAGCAAAGGGATTTTCAGTCTCTGCCTCCCTAATTATGACATTCTTTTTCTGCCTCCCACAGGCACAAGGGCCCTGACGAGGGAGTGCTCAGTTCTTTGGTGTGAAATATAGTAAGATAGAGGCCATTGGCTTCAGAGGAATAGAGCTGGATAAAAAAGTACAAAAGGAATGTGACCAGTAACAGGAATGGCATTTAGAGGACCTGATTCATCTCTTCTACATTGTTCAGGACGATTGCAAAATCCATTTCTCCTTCTCTGTCCCTGCTTCTCTGCCCTTCCCCCAAGCTTTCTTGCTCTCTGCCACACGTGCGTGTGCACACACACACGCGCGCTCGTGCTTGCTCGCTCTCGCTCTCTCTCTCTCTTTTCTAAGGCTCCAGGCATCCGTCCCTGGAGAAGTGCACCTTGGGAAGGCGATGAAATGAAAGAAGGGCACATCCTCCTTTAACCCCAAACATCTGAAGTCAGCGCCGCGCACTACTGCGATTTCCTGGGCCAAATGCATTGTTCAGGCAAAGCTCCCATTCATGTCAACAGTCTCAGCAGGATTTACCAAATTCAGCCATATGGACAATATTCACAGATACTCATTCAAGAAGCTCTCACAGTTCCAACTTCCACCTTGTTGACTCTCTCTCATCTGTTTTTCCCACAAGTCGTTCAATTCAGTTGTTGGGCAACCGTTCAGGGAAGCCTTTAAGTAGAGATTTCTGCTCTCTCATTGGGCAGAAGAGAGGACAGGCAAAACAGTGAGACCGCCAAATGAGGAAAGAAAATTGGAAGCACTTCTCTGATTTAGTACCAAACTTGCTCCAGGATAAAACTGCACTATACCAAAAACTCTGGCAGGGTATCAGGTACTATGGGGTGGGCAAAGTTCCCAGGTTTTACTTCCAGAGCTGACTGCACCAGGGAGACCCACGTGCTCCCGAAGGCACCGCACGCAGGGCAGGGCATGGCCAGAATGACAGCAGATGTCAGCTCTGGACTCTTAAGGACCCAAAGGTCCAGGGTCACATTTTTTGTTACATACCAGCTTCCTCCCCTACTCACGACTGGAGAGTTGTGGCTTCTGCCCCCTTCAGTCACAGCTACTTGGGGTGTCTGAAAGCATCAGGGCCATGCCATCTAGCAATCTTCCCCAAAGTAGGGAAACAGCGGTACCCTGCACAAGCTTGGCATAGAGGTGTTCCCTCAAAATTATCTTTGCACACAGTTGGAGGATGACCAAAATATAGGTTGCCATTTAGGCAAATGACACGAAGGAAGAGATGCTTTGTAGCTAAGTATCTTTTCCATACTGGGCACCCACTAAAGGTTAGCTGTATACATGAATGGATCGATGATTGGATGAAACGACACATGAAAGGAAGGCATTGTTTTCTCAACCAAGCCAAGTACTAAGTAATCTTTGAAAATGAAAACTCAGGCCGGGCGCAGTGGCTCACGCCTGTAATCCCAGCACTTTGGGAGGCCAAGGCGGGTGGATCACTTGAGGTCAGGAGTTCGAGACCAGCCTGGCCAACATGGTGAAACCCCCAACTCTACTAAAAATATAAAAATTAGCAGCCAGGCACGTTGGCTCACGCCTGTAATCCCAGCACTTTGGGACGTCAAGGCAGGCGGATCACCTGAGGTTGGGAGTTGGAGACCAGCCTGATCAACATGGAGAAACCCTGTTTCTACTAAAAATACAAAAATTAGCCAGGTGTGGTGGTGCATGCCTGTAGTCCCAGCTACTTGGGCGGCTGAGGCGGGAGAATTGCTTGAACCCAGGAGATGGAGGTTGCAGTGGGCCGAGATCGCACCATTGCACTCCAGCCTGGGCAACAAGAACGAAACTCCGTCTCAAAAAAAAAAAAACAAAAAAAAAAATTAGTCGGGTGTGGCGGCGTGTACCTGCAATCCCAGCTACTCAGGAGGCTGAAGCAGGAAAATTGCTTGAACCCGAGAGGCAGAGGTTGCAGTCAGCCGAGATCGTGCCACTGCACTCCAGCCTGGGCAACAGAACAAGACTCTGTCTCAAAAGAAAAAAACCAAAACAAAACAGGAAAATGTAAACTCGCCAAGAGCTCAGCAGGAATGGACGTGTTACTCTCAGAGTAGACCCCATAACAGCCACCCAGACACGTGAGAATGCAGCTTTGCCTTAAGACAGACATTAAAGGAAGAAATTCCACCACCTCTCCCTGTAATCTTTGCCAGCGTGTGTCAGCCATCACTCTTGGGAAGCTTTTTCCATCTCCCTACGTTCTCTTAGATTTGGAAACCCACAACGGCTCCCAACAAGCTCCTCTAGATGGCTCCACACCTTCGGCTTGTGGTTTAAGTCCCTCTTCAGTTGTTCCTGAGTCTCATATCTAGAGGAAACTACTACGGGGGAAGTTACTGGGATGAGATTGGCAAGCGGCCCCTCCACCTGGGATGAGATTGACAGGCGGCCCCTCTATCTGGCCTGCTTCTCTGTCTTCAGGCTGGAAAGGGGCTCACTAGGTGGGCGGAGGGCTTCTGTGTCTTCAGGCTGGAAGGGGCTCACTAGGCGGGCCGAGGCCATGCGTGGCCCTCCCTGGGCATCTTGTCCCCCTCTCTGTTCAGCTTTTAAAAATGCCTTTGTGGGCTTTGTTGTGGGTAGGGCTTTCTCCTACCTGTTCCATGAGTCTGGAAGCCCCTGTGAGAGAGGAATTGATGAGCACAGCAAGAAACAGAACTTCACTGAGCATGCTGAACATGTGTCATTATTCTAAATACATTTTTCTTTAATTCCTATGACAATCTGTGAGACAGATACTAATTATTCCTATTTTACATCTACAGAAATCTAAAGTTTAGAAGAATTAAGTAACTTGCCCAAGGTCACTGCCTGAGTAATGACGTATCTGGGTCTAGAATTGAAGTCACTCTACGAAAACTCCACGTCATTTTCTCCTAAACGACCTTCCTATGAAGGCAAAGACCTCCTCTGCCTTAATCATCTATCTCTGCTCCTACATCTAGTACCTAGCATCTGCTTTCTATGTTGTATTTAATTAAATATTTGTTAAATAAAAATGGAAGAATATGCATCATGTATTTGTGCCACTAGGTTTTAAGGTGTACAGTTCAGTACTATTAAGTATATTCACACTGTTGTATAACAGTCATCCAGAACTTTTTCATCTTGCAAAACTGAAACTCTATACCCATTGAACAATTCCCCATTTCTCCTCCCTCCAGTCTCTGGCAACCACCTTTTTACGTTGAATTTGCCTGCTTTAGATACTTCATATAACTGGAATCAAATAGTGTTTATCTTTTTGTGGCTGACTTCACTTAGCGTAGTGTCTGCAAGCTTCATCCATGTTGTAGCATGTGACAGGATTTCCTTGTTTTTGTTTTGTTTTGGTTTTTAAATAGAGAAGGGGTCTCACTATGTTGCCCAGGCTGGTCTCAAACTCCTGGGCTCAAGCGATCCTCCTGCCTCAGCCTCCCAAAGTGCTAGGATTACAGCCATGAGCCGCTGCATCCAGCCAAAATTTCCTTGTTTATTAAGGCTGGAAACACTACATTTTATTTCCCACGCCAAGTTTCTTAAATGACCCATTTCATCAAGTTGCTTCCTTAAAACTCTCTCCTTATATTAGTTCGTTTTCACACTGCTATGAAGAACTGCCTGAGACTGTGTAATTTATAAGGGAAAGGGGTTTAATTGACTCACAGTTCCGCATGGCTGGGGAGGCCTCAGGAAACTTAAGATCACGGCAAAGGTGAAGGCGAAGTGGAAGCAAGGCAGCTTCCTCACAGGGCGGCAGGAAGGAGAATGAATGCAGGAGGAACTACCAAACGCTTACAAAACCATCAGATCTCAAGAGAACTCACTCACTATCATGAGAAGAGCATGGAGCAAACTGCCCCCATGATCCAACTACCACCACCCAGTCTCTTCCTTGACACATGGGGATTATGGGGATTATAATTCAAGATGAGATTTGGGTGGGGACACAAAACCTAACCATATCACTCCTTTAATTCAGCTTCACTCTCGGAAGAGCTTTAATACAATGACAGCCACCGCTGCTACCTGTTGAGCACTCACACTGCGCTAACGGAGCCTCTCACACGTTTTCACAGAAACTTCAGGGTTATGACTGTGATCTGTAGATGAGAAAGTTGAGGCCCAGGGAGATTAAACGGCACGTTCAAGGCCACACTGCTTCCAAGTGCAGCAATCTGGACCTCTGACCTTCCCCAGCTCCCTCTGACTCTACAGCCTGTTGTCAGTCACTAATCTTTACTGCCTTCCAGTGAGCCTTAGAGATGATCAACACAACAGAGAGCGACACTGAGGCCCAGATACATGAGGTGACACCTGTGGCTGCGCTGCCCATTAGCTACAGAGCTGGGGTGATGCCTCGAACTCACGATGCCTGGCCCAGGGCTCTCTGCTCCATTCCACTTGCCTCCGGCCCACGTGACCTCTCCCCCAATCCACATCCCATGGTTTCCTCAAGATGCAGCTCAAGGCTCACTTCTTCCAGACAGTAAAATCCTCCCACACGCACTCCCGGTATTTCGCTTCTCCTTTGCTCTGCTGGCTGAATTCGGTTGGACACACACTCTCATAGCAGCATCATGTCCTACTCTATGATCTTCCAAGGAGGAAAGTGTGTTCCCCTTCCCATCCCACCACCTAAGAGTGTCCTGGAATTTGGCAGGGCACTTGATGAATGCTTTTTGACTGGCTATGCCATAAATTTATGCAATCTAAGAGCTGGGTGGGCCCTGCCTTATCACACTTATTTTCCAGGTGAGAAACTGAGACCCAGAGATGTGAGGTCACTCATGTGGTTACAGAGCTAATTAATGAGGAGCCGAGTCCAGAACCCAGTCTTCTGTCTTCTAATCTGTCCTCTCCTGCTGCTGAGCCCATCTAACCAGGATTCTTTATCATTTTGCAGCACAGAGTTGTGCCCTAAAGCCTGAAGTGGGCAGACACGAGGAAAGAAAGGTTAAATTCTACATTTAGTCATTTTAAGGAGATATGAAAGTACTACCTTTTTATTTCCATAGGGAAAAAAAGATGAAAAGGAATACTGAACAGAAAGAAAGGAATAAAAAGCAATGCAAATTCCTAGTCTTTATCCACATATTAAATAAAGACACTCTGTCCTTCTCCCTCTGTCCCCTCCCACCTCAATATTGCTTGCTCCTTAAGACGGGCCAGGGAAAATGCAATTCTCTCCAGAGTAAAGTGTGAAAGACTAGAGAGGTGCATTAACATTTTATAACCTCAAAATTCTTCAATAAATTAACATTATTAAAGGATATCTGGTTCTTCAGTACCTTGAAAATGAAATGACACCTTCTAGAAAATATAGATTCACCTCATTTGCAGGTTTGCTGTATTGTTAGAGCCATCTACATGTCCCTTTCCAATAAAAAGAAAGGAAGTCATACACCTCTGAAGCATTTTATAGTTAATGAAACACTTGAACACATTATTTTTTTTTGATGATAGGTCATTATGTGCTTATTTTTTGACATTTTAAAAGTTTTATTGTATGTTTAATAGACAAATAATAATTGTACAAATTTATAGGGCATGGTGTAATGTTTGGGTACATGTACACATTTTTATCCCAGTAAGATGTAAATCTTTGGAGAAAACCTGATGCAGATAGAAGAGGCTTCTGATACATATTAGGACATGGATGTCAGTTTTTCTGATTTTTTTTTTTTTGAGACAGGGTCTCATGTCGCCCAGGCTGGAGTGCAGTGGCATGATCTCGGGCTCACTGCAACCTCCGCTTCCCGGGTTCAAGCATTTCTTGTGCCTCAGCCTCCCAAGTAACTGGGATTACAGGCATGAGCCCCCACGCCCAGCTAATCTTTGTATTTTTAGTAGAGATGGGGTTTCGCCATGTTGGCCAGGCTGGTCTCGAACTCCTGACCCCAGGTGATCTGCCTGACTCGGCCTCCCAAAGTGCTGGGGTTAGAGGCATGAGCCACCACGCCCGGCCAGTTTTTCTGATTCTACTTACTAACTCACACTTACCCAAGAGTTGTCCTCTTCACCTTCTTAGCCTGGCTTTTTTTTTTTTTTTTCTGTACTGCCCTCCAGAAGGAAGACAATCACTTTTTTTTTTTTAAGATAGGTCAACAGATTTTAATGTGAGATAGTATGAAAAGTTCACTTATATGGTTTCAGAACACCTTATAACTAACCTATAAGAAGCTAACTTAATTCTAGGGATTAAATAATGGAAGTATTGAATATTTAATCAATCAACAAGTATTTATTGGGAGCCTATTGTACACTGGGCACTATTCTAGGCCCTAGGGATATAAGATTAAACACAGCAGGGGGAGTTTCCATTCTCCTGAGGTTCCACACTAGGGCCCTTTCACGGATGAGACAACAGGCAAATTCAAATTGAAACCACAGTGAGATACTACCGCCCATCCACTAAAATGGCTAAAATCAAGAAGACATGTAATAACAAGTGGTAGCAAAGATATGGAGAGGTACTCTCCGTATTACTCTCATATATTACTGGTGGGAATGTAAAATTATGCACCCACTTTGGAAAGCAGTTTGGCAGTTCCTCAAAATATTAATTGCATACTTACCATATGATCTGGTAATTCCACTCTAGATATACACTTGAAAAAAATTAAAATATATTTCTATATAAAAACTTGTGCACACATGTTCACAGCATTATTCTTAATAGCTAAAAAGTAGAAAGAGCCCAAATGTCCATCACTTGATAGATAAATATGCAACATTCATAAAATATTACTTGGCAAAAAAAGAAAATACTGATACATGCCACAACATGCATGAACCTTGAAACTATGCTAAGTGAAATAAGTCAGCCACAAAAAAGCAAATATTTTATAATTCCATTTATATAAACTGTCTAGAATAGGCAAATCTAGATAAATAGCAGATTAATGGTTATCTAGGGACTGGGGGGCTGGGGAGATGGGGTATGACTAATGAGTATGGGGTTTCTTTGGGGGTGATAAAAATGTTCTAAAATTGATTGTGGTGATGATTGCAGAACTCTGTAAATATGCTAAAAGCCACTGAGTAGTACACTTTAAATGAGTAATTATATGTTATATGAATTACATGTCAAAAAAGATTGTACATAACATAGTATGAAGATATACTGAGAACTAGTGGAAGATGATCTCAGCAGTTTGTTCTCATGCTGCTAATAAAGACATACCTGAGACTGGGTAATTTTTAAAGGAAAGAAGTTTAATGGACTCAGTTCCACATGGCTGGGGAGGCCTCACAATCATGGCGGAAGGCAAAGGAGAAGCAAAGGCACGTCCTACATGGCGGCAGGCAAGGGAGCTTGTTGAGGTGAACTCCCACTTATAAAACCATTAGATCTTGTGAAACTTATTCACTTCCAGGAGAACAGTATGGGGGAAACTGCCTCCATGATTCAATTATCTCCACCTGGCCCTGCCCTTGACATGTGGGGATTATTATAATTCAAGGTGAGATTTGGGTGGGGACACAACCAAACCTTATCAGTGTGTGGGTAGGCAACTGGCCTGGGCACCATGTTGCTGTTTTTCTTCTGTAACTCTATAGAGAATACCCCTCTGGGGAAGTTTCTGGGCCAAAAATTGGTGACAGATAGTAATCAACAGATATTGCTCAGACTACTGTAGGAAGTAGAAAGCTTAGCGATAACAGATTTTCCTGGCAACACCCACCCACTAATAAGATTTACAGTTTGCTAGAGTGGCACCAGCTGTATGAAGATTCACTAAAATCTCACTTGAGATAGGCAACACCTATCTCTAAACCAGAAGAGACAGGTATTTCTTTCTTCTTCCTCTCCTCATGTCACCTCCTAACCTCCACAGTGCCCATGTTGAGTTTTAGAATTGGCATTTAGAGCAAGACATAGATTCTTGGTGGGTGGCCTCTTGCCAGCTGGTCCTGCCCCCCTCCTCGCTACAGATCACAAGTGTTGGCCTGGTTTCTCTCACCACAAACAGCAGTATCAACAACCTCATCCAAACTTCACGTACCTCTTTACCAAACTAGAGCTAATCCCAAGTAAACAGCATTTGGACTTCAGAAATCCGGTTCCACGTTTGTGTGAATGACAGATTCCCCAATATTTTAGCAGGGCCTCACCCTCAGTTATTCTTTTCCATGATGACAGTTCTGTATCTTACTGAGACTAATAAATTACTGTCCTTCACAACAGAGGTACACAAAAGGCCTCAAACGATGAGCTGGCTAAAATGTAGCTGCTCTGTTAACAATGATGGAATGCTAGCCATGACATATGCATAGCAAGCAATTTTTCCTCATCTTCACCAATGGGAAGGAGCTAGCATTTGGCCAAGACCTTTGATAAGTGCCATGGGTCCTCTCACACCCTCAGACATGAATATTTCGGGGTAAACCAGGTACCTGGGTAACTTTCTCATGTGCTATTCTGCCACAGCAGGGGCAACTGCCCTTACAGTCTTGTCCCAGAAGAACCACTAACAACTTGAAGTTTCCATCAGTGAGAAACGCACCTGCCACACAGACCACTTTCTAGCATCACTCACACAAAGGTTGTCGATGTTTGGACCAAGTTCGCCAGAGTATTTTTTCATTTGGTTGAAGTTGTTTTCAATGTTTTCCAGTGACTGGAGGTCAAGTCTGGAGCAGTGGCTTGTATTAATAGATCCTTTGTGAGGGCAGCCGCTGAAACGACACTTCAACTCATCACTGACAAGGGAACAGAAAACACGGCCAAGTCAGGTTTTGTGGCCACCCCTCAAACTGGCCCTGAAAATGGCACTGATTCTGGAGATGGCCAAATGATTTAAGTGTGCATGCACGTGTGTGAGGGATAATCTTGGTTCCTAATTTGGGCGTTTTGAATTGGAAACTTTGCCGGACATTGCCTAAATCAACGGTCAAAGAGTACAGTTTGTTTTTTCTCTGAGTAACAGATATCAGTTTCCTAAAGCTCACTGCCTTTCTTGGAGGAGGGAGGGGAGGCCTTTGCCAACTTTGTCTACCTCCACGCTTTTTGGGCTTACTTTCTAATGAATGGGCAGGTCTGGGGCATCTTTTACCACATTCAGTCCAGAAAGGATCTGTCTGTCTCATCTAACCTAAAGCCTGGCTCAATAATGCCTGGTCAAGAGGCTGGGTCTCACCCTTCGGGGCTCGTTTATATAATGAGTGTCTCTGGGTTCAGATCTTCTCAATAAAAGATGTCTGCCTAGCACAATCCTTCTGAAATTTAATGGCTGCAACCCTGACAGCCTTCAGGCTGGGAATTTATCCGACATCAAATGAACAGGCAGCAAACAGGATGGAGCAATCTTTCCCAAAGTGTGTTCCATGGAACTCCAGGGTTCCATGGGCAGTTAAGTTTGGGACAATGCATTCCACCCCTGTCTTATTTCTAAGATTCTAAGACATCATCAGTTTTAAGCTCCTCATCGATTTAATGTTTTTTTTGTTTTTTTTTTTTTGAGAGTTGAGGAGAAGACGACACCTGATTATAAGTAATATAGTTTTGTTTTTAACACACAGTAAGAGCCTACATTTATCTAGATGAGCACTCAGGATTTCTTCTTTAGTATCTCAGTTACAGTTTGCATCTAATCACTCTTTGCCATCTGAGTCTAAGGGTTCACTGAGTCACTTTTGACCATTAGAAGTTATATGGAATCTTAGAGGGACAAGTTGCTTTTCATAAACTTATGATCTTGGTCTCCTTTGTATCCTTAGAATAAACAACATAATGTTGAATCCTGTAAAGAAATATTCAAGTTTCATGTGCCTTTTTTTATAAGCTTATTGTTTCATATTTTCCTTAATTGAATAACGTGACTGAAAGGTATTGACTTTGCTAAGTGTCAGCTGGAAGCTCTTGACAGATTCTTGGAGATGGAGTGATAGTTCTTCATAATGGGGGAATCAGCATTCCAAGAACTGTCAAACCACCTTCTCCGCACAGTGAAGCTTCCACGATCCATTCCTAGACATTTGGCAATCTCTGTTGCCTTTAATTACTGCCCGGAATATGTGACAAAAAAAAAAAAAAAACCTGCTTTTATAATGCTGATTCATAACAATGTTTTTAAAATACACATTTTGGAATAATTTTAGATTTACAGAAAAGTTGCAAAGATAGTAGAGTGTTCCTATACACCCTTTACCCAGTCCTCTGTTGCTAACATCTTACATTACCAAGGAACATTTGTCAAAACTAAGAAGCAAATGTTGGTATGTGACTATTAACTAAACCCCAGGCTTTACTTAGATTTCACCCGTGCATCTACCCACGTCTCTTTTATGTTCTGTTCTGACAACAATGCATTCAGTTGTCATGTTGCCTCAGTCTCCTCTGCTCTGTGGCAGTTTCTCAATCTTTTCTTGACAGTCTTGAAGCGTCCTGGCCAAATGTACTGTACAATGTACTCTGATCTGTGTTTCTCTCTTGCTTTTCTCAAGACTAAATGGAGGTATTTTTGTAAAAAATGCCACAGAAGTAAAGTACCCTTCTCATTACATCCTATCACAGGGGACGTGGCAGCCACATGGCCTCACTTGTGAAGCTAACCTGATCCCTTAGTTAAGGTAGTGTTTGCCAAGTTTTTCCACTGCAAGGTGTAGCAAATGAAGGGATCTAAGTTAAATTCAACTTTGGTGGACTCCCTATTTTAAGAACTCACCTGAGGTGCCATCAAATGGGCAAGCATGTACAAAGACTGGCTAGGTCCCTGCATCTTGTGCAGGCAGGGACAACCTCAGCGTCCTGGCCAGGGCCGGGAGCTCATTGGCGTGAGAAGCCAGACACACTCACTCTCAGGGTCTCACCCGCATGAATCTTGCACCCCATGCACCTCATTTAACTTGCTCTATGCCCATCCCCGCTTCTGACACTGATTCCAAAGTTTACTCTAATTTTAGAAACATTGAAGTATAAAAACATGGGCTTTTTATTTTAGAATCAAGTGTACTGTAAAGGTTCTGGGACATCCTGCAGTAACCTTATTTAACCTACAGTTTCCCAAACTAATTTGATCACAGAGTCCTCTTTTCACTTAAGGCCCTTTCTTCACCTGAACCTATGAATAGAGGGGAAGGAACAGGGCTGAGCCAGCTGAATCTGCTTTGAGTCCCAGCTGCCTGACTGTGGCAAGCTTCCTCATAAAGGAATGCTCTTCAGAGCCTCTGACATCCTCAGTCACAATTCTGATGCATTTAAATGCATTTCTTTGACCTCTCATACACCCCTGGGAAGGCTCTGCTTGCACGTCTGTGAGCTATGCACGGATATACTGACAGTCCTATGGAAGTGGCTGACCTTTGTCACGATATCCGGGAGTAAAAATGGTCCAGACAGGCAGGTAAGCATGCGAACACTGAGTTCCAAAATCGTATCAGAGCTGCCTGCTCATTGGACCACTGTGAATGAGGATGGGCTCACCCCAGCCCCCTACTAACCTTTGCATCCTTTAACTGCCAGGACTCATACCTGACTCTAATAGAATGAACTTCTGTTCTCTGATACTACATCTTAACGTCCTCTGAGGAACACTGTAGTGGCAGGTGGGTAAGCTGAAAATTTAGGAAGCAAATTATAATAGACATCCTAGCCAACCTCATTTCACAGTTCTGAGCAGCCCCAGTGGAGCAATCTTCCTGTTCGGAGGATCACGGCAACACAGGGAGTAATCACCATTTCAGCCCGTACATGGGAGGCCAGAAAGGGAGATCCTAGTGTCATTTAGGCCCAGGCTCTGCCTTGGCTATTGACAAGGTCTTTTAGGGTATGGGGTTACATTTTTGTCCCACTAAATGACAGCAGCATTTGGTGGGTAACATGCATACATAAGCGCATAGGGCCATCCATCAAATCAACAATTCATATAGTGAGTCTCTTGGGGAAGACATTCCCACGTTATAGGAACATGGGCCTTTTCCATTATATGAGAAAGTGAACTTACAGATACATAAGGGCAACTATTCCTTTCATTTTTAAAAATTTGTCACCTTTTACCAAAAGAAGAGTGGCACGGTAGAAAATGCATGAGACTTGGAGTTGGATATGCTTGGGCTCAAATCCTAGTTCCTGGGGCAGGTTTCCTTTTTTTTTTTTTTTTGAGAGGGAGTCTTGCTCTGTCACCAGGCTAGAGTGCAACAGCGCAATCTTGGCTCACTGCAACCTCTGCCTCCCAGGTTCAAGTGATTCTCCTGCCTCAGCCTCCTGAGTAGCTGGGACCACAGACTTGCGCCACCACACCCAGCTAATTTTTGTATTTTTAGTAGAGACGGAGTTTCACCATGTTGGCCAAGATGGTCTCGATCTCTTGACCTCGTGATCTGCCCACCTCAGCCTCCCAAAGTGCTGGGATTACAGGCGTGAGCCACCGTGCCCGGCCCCTGAGGCAGGTTTCTTAATTTCTCTGAGCTTCAGTTTTCTCATGGGTAAAATGGGGATAAAAATACATACTTGACAAGGATATTATAGAGCTCAAATGAGACAATCTGCTGAAATATTTTTAGCCTGGCACAGAGAAAATTAGTAACAAACATGGAATTCCCTTTCACTCCAAGCTCCCTTTACACTAGGGACTGTCTCATGGTTGATACCAGATGGCCCGGTCTCGATTCTGCACAAGCTTGGTACTCTAACACCCCAGTTTTAGGAAGGCCTCAAGAACAATCTGCAGGGGCAGGGGACCTTTCTAATGATCCCACACACTCTCTGGACTGTATGGGATCATTAGGAAAAACAGGTATCAGCGCCCTGATGCAAGTCCTTCTGAACAATCCAGGGTTTAGCAGGAGGCCAAGGTGTTTGATCCTCTCTGGACATTATCATGGCTGGTCTTCCTTCTGTTCTCCGTCGACGTGACTTGTTAGCGTTAACAGTGCCTGTGGGCAGGAATTAAGAGGACAGCGAAAACTTGCTTTGCTAGTTAATGCTCTCTCTGCTCTCAGAGAGGGTCGAGAGACAACAAAGGCTCATTCCTGCCAGAACCAAGAACCCCCACCTCAACTCCCAACTCCTACCAAACATTAGCCACCCATCTGACCCTCATAGACGTCTCCAAGATCGAAAAATATCCTTTGGCAAAAACGAATCATTGGCAATTTGGTTATTTTAACTACTTCTGTGGCCAGGAGAGAAGGATGAGAGTTTCAGCTGGATATAAACAGAAGCAGGAGCTTGAAGAGGATGAGAGAAAATGAAGCCAGTGCTATGATACAGTCCAAGACAGCCTGGTTTCAGTTGAGCTGAGGAGAAACTGAAGCTGATTTCAAACGAGTCTGAAAACCCGCATCCCTGTGCTCCCCTCGCATAGCCACTGGCCTTCCCATCCTCCGTGCGGTCCTGAACTGACCATGCACTCACAATAGCACATTCAGGGCTGGCCATAGGGAGCCGTCTTCGTGCAAGGCAAGTTCTTGAGAGAGGAGTCTGTGTTTATGAAGGTTAATTCCAGGCTCAGCCAAAGGCCACCTAAGGCACAAATGCTCCGAGTCGGTTGGGGTTTGTGTGTTCCATCCGCTGCTGGGCACCTCTCTAGGATGCGTATTTCTAGTCAGTGGACCGTCCTAAACATGTGAAGCTGCTGACAGATGAAAGCTGGCCTTGCTTGTGGCATCCATTCTTCAGGGCTTGTACCTGCTCTTATAAGGAAGTAGAACTCAGAGAGCACTCACTGGCAGCAGGGGACTGGTCCTACACTCACAGCAATGTCCCGACTCGGTTTCAGTGATGGCTTCAATGTCTCATTTTGTGTCACCAGTGTTGATGAAACCTTGACAAGGCAAAGCAAAACGACAAGCACGCCCTGAGCAGAGCCCCGGGAATTCAACCTTTAAGTGGATAACTTGGCTTCTGGTTTGCCAAGGAACCAGGGCATCAAACAGATGAAACAGCCTATTGTCCATTTCAACAGGATTTTTCAGGAGTGGGGATGATCTTTCAAATTATCCACAACTTAATTATTTAATATTTTGATAGTCAATTACCTAAGACACGGCATCGTCACTGACCAATCAGAAGAGATGCCAGTAGTTGGGCGCAGTGGCAGCACTTTGGGAGGCTGAGTGGACAGATCACCTGAGGTCAGGAGTTCGAGACCAGCCTGGCCTACATGGTGAAACCCCATCTCTACTAAAAATACAAAAATGAGCCAGGCATGGTGGGCACCTGTAATCCCAGCTACTTGACAGAGTGAGCCTCTGTCTCAAAAAAAAAAAAAAGAAGAAGAAGAAGAAGGAGAGGAAGAAGATGAAGAAGAGATGGCAGCCACAGCTGGGAGACGGGTCCTAGAAATCCCCCGTAGTGCAGGGCATCCTCCCTGTTTGCTTCTTGGATTCTGGGAAAGTCCTCGGTGGCAAGCCTGAGAGGCTGGGCAAAGGGGCTAGAGCAGTGGCTATTGACCTCCAGGGAAGAGGCATTCTATGGCCTGAACAAGCAGCAGGCAGCACCAGGTCTGGGTGATTCTCTGTCCTGCAGTCGTGGGAGATGAGGGCACGTACACGAGGGAAGAAGCACAGAAAAGAAGCCTCTGCAACCTTCGCATTTTTTATCACACTGTGTTAGTACCCAGGAGACTTTAGCCTTCCCAAATCTCACTGGATCAATAACTTCAGGAAAAAGAATTTCCAGGAGCCAATTTCCACATTAGTTTAGGTGCCGGGAGGTCTTTGGAAACTCAGCCCGAGACACCCGGAGACTTCTAGTCCACCCCCGGGGAATTCAGTTCAATCCTCTGAAACACTCAGACTATCTCCTCTAGGCACCGCCAGCTCAGGTTTCTACTCAGAACACATACATTTGTGTCTGGGGAAAGGCAAGGCATGAAATATACTTCACTGAAAGGTTGAAAAGCATGGAGGGTAAAGTTAATTTTCAAAGAAGAAAGGAAGTCAACGGCATAACACAATGGAATGTGTGATTCACCTCTGCAGGGCAGACATTGATTTTCCCACCAGGGAGTATCATCGAATTAGTTGGCAGTTGAAAATATGATCTCTGACTTTTTTTTCCATTCCCCTTAGGTCCTACATTTTATTTTAAGGCCATGAAACAACATGAGATTAAAAGTGTCATCCAGAAACAGAAGTGGAAAAGATGCAGTATTTCTTTTGTTCAAAGAAAATATTTTTGAAGTTATTTCACAACTAAAATTGCAATGACAGGTGTGTGGGTGGGGTGCATGGGCTCTCCTCGCTTGGTTCATATTGGACAGAGGGGAAGCCTGTGGGCTTAGGGGGCACAGACCCCTCCCATGAAGAGTCAGCATCAGGGCTGCTCTGGGTGTAACCCAGGTCCTGCACCGTTTCCAGTGGCTGGTGTCCTGGGAATAGGCATCAGTTGGAAGCCACACCTTCACCCTGCGGGGGATGAGGAGGGCTAATGGTGGGAGAAATCATTCAGGTAAGAAATGTTCTCCCACCTCCTAGATGTGTGGCTTTGGGTGAGGTGCTCAACTCTCTGAGCCACAGCTTTCAGAGCTCTAAATGGGGACTCATAATTTCTGCTATATCTAGATACATGTAGGTCTAGGTTTAGGTGTTCTGATGCCTAACATTTTGTATACCTTCTTTAAGAATGCCAAGTTGACAAATGCAGAAATGGGAACAGAGTTTTCAAAGGGGCTCCTGCAAGTGGAAGGCCCTACAGTTTAAGTCTCGTTAGTGTCATGGTGAATCTAACTTTGCACACCTGCCTATCTCAAATAAGAGGTACGTATATAAATGTACATCTCAAACTATAATTATATAAATACATGATGTTGAATTACTCTATAAATCTGTAATACTTAATGTATGCTATGTGAGGTGCAGGAAATAAAGCTGTGCAGGAGACATACAATCCCACCCGTATGAAACCTAAAATCTAGAGGCGTTGCATTATCATCTATGGGAGGACATCTATTCAGAATGTCCTCTGAATCCTGAACTTGGAAGTGAGGCAGATCACAGTGGAATGGCTTGATTGCTCGTCTGCAGCACTAGCCCCTCTCAGGGCTCTCTGAGGTCCTGATGCCACACCTGGCTTTCTGGGCGGTGAGCTCTGCTTGACCTCTGTCTCTGCCCTCTCCTTGCCAATCACTGCCTTCTCACTCACTCTCATTTTGAAACCCTCACAGCACCAGGCCAGCCTTTTTATTTTATTTTAATTTTTATTATTTTGAGACATTCTCGCTCTTTCGCCCAGGCCGGACTGCAGTGGTGCTATCTCAGCTCACTGCAAGCTCCGCCTCCCGGGTTCACGCCATTCTCCTGCCTCAGCCTCCCACGTAGCTGGGACTACAGGTGCCTGCCACAGCGCCCAGCTAAGTTTTTGTATTTTTAGTAGAGACGGGGTTTCACCGTGTTAGCCAGGATGGTCTCGATCTCCTGACCTCGTGATCCGCCCACCTCGGCCTCCCAAAGTGCTGGGATTACAGGCATGAGCCACTGTGCCCAGCCCAGGCCAGCCTTTCTAACCTTTATTTTCAAACAGGAATGGATAGCGGTTTCCTGGGGAGGCGGGGGCGACAGTAAGAGAATGAGGGGGTGACAGCCAAGGAGCATAGTTTTCTGGGGGAGGGTAATTAAAATGTTCCGAAATTGATTGTGATGATGGATACGCAACTATGTGACTACAGTAAAACCCAGTGATTTGTGTACTTTCAGTGGGTCAGTTATGTGGTATATGAATGATAGCTCAATAAAGTTGTTAAAAATATGAACGGACAACCAAGAAGCATCTAAAATTCAAGAAAAGCTTGGAGCAAGAGAAAGCAGAATTAATAAGCAGGGGGAAAAATGAAGAACACTCAGTTCATTCAGAAAAAAAAAACAATTTTTTAAATGACCAATTATCCTTTGAGAGACTCAAGAAGATGCTGCATCCACAAAATAAGAATAGGGAGCCATGAAAAAGGAACTATCCAAAAACAAGAAAGAGTTCTTGTGAATTATTAAAACAATAAGTTTCCTAAGAGATAAAATTTTGATTAAATGTCTGCACAATGAAGTCAGGGATAATCCCTAGAGCATAAAGCAAAAGGCCCAGACACTAGAAAAAGAGAAGTTTAACATGTGATAACCAGCACTTTCAGAGTGAAAGAACAGAAAAACAGAGGAAATAAAATTAAAAAGGAAAAAATAGGGAAAACTTTTCCCAGAGCTAAAGGAAGACAAGAATGTTTAAAATAAAAGGGTCTTGTAGGAATGAAAAAGATACCCATGCCGAATACATCAGTGTGAACTTTCAGAACATCAAAGAGCAGAGCAGAGCCTAAAACCTTACAGAAAAGATAAAACGGGTGATTGACAAAGGATCCAGAAGCCAAGAAGCATCAGAAATAACAGATCTTACGAGACCGTGTAATAGGCTTTTGAAATTTTCATTGAAAATTATTTTGAATGGAGAATTTTATATTCTAATTCTCCACCAAGAACAAGAGTACTAAATCTCAATCTAATAGTGGGAAATCAAGAGATACTGCCTGAAGTTGATGGAACAAGAAATAGAAATTTCAATATAGTGTTTGAGGTGTCACAGGTTGCCAATAAAAGAATTAAAGTACTATTACCTTCATGGAAAAAGAGATGTAGAATAGAGAAAAGAACATAATAAAAGCTAGATCTTTATTTTTCATACCTAGGAATGGACCACTTCTTCAGTTGTAAGAAACTTAAATCTAAAAATACTACATAGAGGTAATAAATATAACTCTGAGAAGTATTGAAAACAGACATGGTTAAAAAAAAAAAACAAAGTTGCAGCTAAGGAGCAGGTCTGAAAGGAAAAGGGAGGGATCCCAGGGGGAGAAGAAACCCACTGCTTTTTATTTTAAAAATGAGATATAAGGCCAAACTTTTTTTTTCAACTAATTAACGGGACTTTTAAATACAGATCCTAGAAGCAGTGCAGAGAGCCAAGGCTTGGCATTTGGGTAGCTGCGCACTTCCAAACTATACTGCATGAAAGCATTTCACAGACCGTGAGTTGTCCAGTTACTTAACTTTGGGAGATACTGTCATTCTTGATGTCCCTTTTACAGATTCAAAACATACATTAAGTTATTAAAAGCTCTGAGAAGTTCTGTAGAATATAAACCATTTTGACTTCATTTAAATACAGGTCAATTTGCTGAAAGACCAATTTGATGAACTGTTAATTTGCCGATGTTACTAAATTTACCAACTTTTTTAAAATAAAGATTTAATACTCACAATGGGATTGTTTTCAAAGTTTTGATAGGAATGTGCAAGTTGCAAAAGAAAATTAAATAGCCAAAAAGTGAGTAGAGCACACATTAATATAAACAGAGAAGATTTTACAAATGAGATTTTTAGACTACTTCTGGTTTCTTTTGGACATTTCTGGATATCATTTTTAACTTTGCTTAAAATTTTAAGCATTCTAAGGTTTACTTTCCCTCATTTCCTCCATGACCTACTGGCCTTTATTGTGTATTTCTAACAATTAAACATTTAAGTTAAATGTAAATTCAAATGCATCTCAAGGACATCAGAATTTTAAATTAACTTAGATCTAATTCAAATTCTAAACGGACGGAAACACAAAATTAAGGTTAAACTATTTACAAATTGGTGAAAGAACATTAAAAATTCTTTACAAAATAAAATAACATTTTTAAAGCATATAAAAAAATAAAATGTAGTTGAAACAATCCTGTCACATATGAAATGCCAAAACTTCAGGTAGAAAAATTGTATTTCATATAGGAATTGTTCAAATGATGCCGAATTCTGTTGTCAGCCTTCCAGCATTTTAGAATTTTCTTTTCTACTGATACCTCAGACAGGAAACATCTTAATATTAGTTAATACAGTCATGTGCCACATAACATTTCAGTCAATGGACTGCATATGTGATAATAGTTGTTCCACAAGATTATACTGGAGCTGCCCTATGCACCTATATAATTTTAAATTTTATGACATATTTTTGCCCTATTTTTTCTATGTTTACATACACAAATACCTGCCACTGTGTTACAACTGGCTACAGCATTCAGTACAATAATGTCCTGTACAGGTTTGTAGCCAAGGAGCACCATATAGTCTAGTTGTGTAGTAGGATTTCACAATCTAGGTTTGTGTAAATACATTTCATGACGATTGCGTGACAACAAAATCATCTAATGACGCATTTCTCCGAACGTATCCCCATTATTAAACAATGCATGACTATATTCAGAAAAGCATCTTTCATTGTCAGCAAAACAGGATCAAACACTTAGTAGACAGGGCTACTAAATCGTCATGGGTAAATGTGCATATCTGAAAACTAGGCTCTTCGTGGACTTGGTGTACAGTGAACTGGCTTTTGATGAATTGGCTTTCCATAATTGATTTTCGGCCAACTGACCTGAAGCCATTTTACTTAACCTAGCTTTTCCCAAATTCATTTGACCAGGATTCTCTTTTCATTTCAAGTCAATGGAACAATTATCCTGACAGAACACACTCTGGAAACCACTACTCAACAGGAAGGAAGTCATATGCTTGTACTACAGGCCCTGGGGAACAGCAAGCCGACTTTGATAATAATAATTAGCAACTGCTAACAGGGGAATTAATGAGAAAAGAAACTTAACTTATATCCAGATGCCATACTTCTATAAATCGGCAGACTATATATTCTATTCACTCATCTCCACTGGTGAAAAGTTCCACGTTTTATATTAATTTTTATTTTACTTTTTTTTAGAGATGGGGTCTTGTTCTGTTGCCCAGGCTGGAGTGCAGTGGTACAATCAAAGCTAACTGTTACCTCGAACTCCTGGGGTCAAAAGTGATCATTCCACCTCAGCCTCCCGATGAGCTGGGACTAAAGGTGCACCCTACCATGCCCAGCTAATTTTCTAATTTTTTGTAAGACAAGGTCTTCCTATGTTACCCCAGGTTGATCTCAAACTTCTTGCCTCGAGGGATCCTCCCACTTTGGCCTCCCAAAGCACTGAGATTACAGGTGTGAGCCACCACACCCAGCTTATATGTATTTTTTTAAAATAAAAACATTTTAATAGAAAATTCATGGGTGGGAATGAAGTGTTTGTGTTTTTTCTCTCTCATGTTCTTTGGGTCTGAGAAAGCCTTACACAGCATGCTTCCATGTCTTAATACTCTCCCACTCATGATGGCTGCTGTGGGAACTGCCAGCAGTGAGGGCTGGTAGGGAAGAAAGCAACACAGGCCAGGGATCACACACTTACGAGCCCACTGGGGTAGACAGGATGTGGACGAGTAAAGCCAGCCTGGTGGGGAACTAGTGGAGACTTTGGCAAACTGACAGAGAATACGCCAGGTTTAAGAAGGCAGCTGCTACCCAGCATAGCTACAGCTGCTTTGGGGATGTGGATCCACTGTACCAGTCTTCTGATTCCCCAGGCAAAACTAGAAATCTAAGTTAAAAAAATAAAATAAAATCTCCTGCTTTTTAGAAGTTAGCAAATATTTCATTAAAATATCCACCATGTGGCTAATCAGAAATGTTTCATATACATGAATGTGTATATATATATGTGTGTGTGTGTGTGTGTGTGTGTGTGTGTGTGTGTGTATGTGCATATACATATATGTGAAACAAAGTAACATCAGTTGTATTACCTTAAACCACCAAGTTACACAAAAAATTATAAGCAACCAAAGCTATACTAACTCCTCAGGATGTTGTCTTGGAACCAGTCGGAGGAAGGAAAGGGTATGTGTGGTCCTAACCTTATGGACCACATGATAACTCATGACAAGAGAGGCAGTGAGAATTGGAGCTGAGTTAGTTTGTTTTGTACTTTATTTGTGGCTGAGACTAAAGAAGTTTTGGAGGATTTTGAAACTCAGAATCTGAAAGCTAGAAGGGACATTACAGTCATGTGGGCAACCTCCTATTCAATAAAGGAATTATTTGGGTACAATTCCAACAGGTTGTCAACTAGTTGTTATGTAAACACTTCCAACGATGGAGTGTTGGATGCTCCATTATTGGGTACCTGAGGTGTTACAAACTGTTCTTCCTAATTTGCTGGCATGAAATGTGTCTTTCCTCAATTCCAAGTAACAAGTCCTAGTTCCTCCTCCTCTGGCCAGGAGGAAAACTCTTCTTCCTTCCTACAAGACAGCCTTTTAAAATGTTTGGAAATTTACAGCAGGTATCCCTCTCCTTCACAGTCTTTTAACCTTGTGATGAAATACCTCCAGTTCTCATCAGCCATTTCTCATCATATGGCTACAGAATTCTTCTCATGATGGTCATCCTCAGCTAGAAACTGTCTAGACGGGGTGATGGATACATGTACCCCATCCTTTGATGTTGATACTATACTTAAAATAATGCAGCCTAAGGTTGGATTAGCTTTACTGCACTGCACTGTTCTCTCTGGACCCCCCAGATATATGTTATGATTTTTATGTTGTATGAACGAAGAAATCCAATTCAAATAGGCTGACGAAGTAAAAATAAAGTTTATCAGCCTAATTGCTTATGCAACTCAACAGTACAGGAGTAAATGCGGTCTGAGGCAGTGTTTAAACAATGTGATCAGGATCCGGTTTTCCTCTTTCCATTTCTCACCTCTACTTCCTTGGTTTCTTTTTTTTTTTCTTCTGATCTCTTTTAGTCCCAAGAACGCTAACGGCCTGCAGTCTTAGGGTTCTATGCTCCCTTAGTTATGAGCAGTAGTAAAGGAGAAGTCTTCTTTCTTAATAGTTCGAATGAAAGGCCAAGAACGGACGACCATCACGGCTCCAACATGAAGCCACCTGGCTAACATGGGTCACATGACCAGGGAAACATGACTTTTCTAGCTTTAGCCAATCACAGACAGACTGCCTCTGTGGTCAATCACATACACACGACATGGCTAGGACCCATTTGAAGTTATATTAAGAAAGAATGCAGAAATTAATGTTATTGGAAAAACCAAAAATAATCTACTAAACACTAGAAAAATTTCTCCAGCCTATTATTGAATTTTACTTCCAAATGAAGACTTTTCCGTGTACCCCTACTCACTTTGATGCCAAATGCTTCTGATTAAGGAATTAATTTGAACTTTGGTTCAGCTCTCCAAAAGATTCTTCTCTGCTTTGAATCCCTTCCATATTTGATATACATAACTTCTACGTATTCTTCTCATTAAGTCTTTGATTAATGAGAACCATTAAGACCAAAAAAACACTGAGCTTTGAGGCATATACCCCACTGCGTATTTCCCCAAAGGGGTCTATCAATCTGTGAAAGACTATGGTTCAGAAATAGCTATTTAAAAGGTATAAATTAACCTCACTAACTCCTATTTTTCCATCCATAGGAAATGTGCCAGGAGACACTATCAAATGCCTTGCTGATATCAAGGTGCACTGTTTCTGTAGCATTTCCAAAATAAATGCTACATTTTGTAGCATTCTGGCTATATTACTTAATGCCTGTAGCCAGAAGGAGATAGCACACAGGGGAACTGGAGAACCTCCATAGAGTATGTCACACACTGCCATCAGGTACATCAGGTCCTGACATAATTTCTTTGCTCCAGGTAGGACCTCAGCTGCTTTCTAGAGATCCATCTTTTCCTTTTCCAGCTCTCAGACTTCCTCCTAAATGGCTGGCTTGTGCTCTGGTCCAAGTGGGTCCTGCTGTTCCCTTGGAAATTCTAAGAACCTGCTCTTGCAAAGCTCAATCCCCAGTGCATAACATAATGGCGGAGAGCTGCTGCTTCCTTCTCTCTCATGTAATTGTCCTTTCATCAGTCTTTTTATTGGATTCTCTTTACCATCTTTGAGTCGTTTTCTATCTGAAATGTTTATTAGACTATTTCTGAGTGGAATAGTACAGTGGACATCTATTCTTCTGGTTTGTCCAGAGTTCACCCACCCTCCTAGGTTTTCAAGAATGTCTGTCCCATTTCAAACCTGCATTTTTGGCAGGGCTGCCAGCACCTCATCTCCCTCGGTCCAGGCAGGGTTGGGTGTGAGACCCACAAAGGCCAAAGCCATCCATCCCAAATACACAGTTTTTAAATCTGGAGCTGGAGGGAATAGAACTTTTTCTTTTGTTATACAGATAGCAGAACATGAATGGGGTGGGGGGGAAGAAGCTGCTGGAAGCCATCTGTCTCACCACGCTGTGGACAAGACTGTGAGGAAGAATGAGGACAGCATCCAGGAAGGGAAGGAAGGAGGGAGAGAAAAAGAACGCAAGAGCAAGAAAGCAAAGGAGCCAGACGTCAGTCCGACGGCCCAGACTGCATCCCTGAATTCCATCGCAGTAGATCTGTGGCTGGCTGTGCAGTGTGTAGGCAACAGATTCTACTCTGCGTGAAGGTGCTCAGGTGGATTTCTGTTACTTGTATTAAAATTAGCATCACAGAGTCATATGGTAGGAAAACAGAATGGTATAGTGGAAAGACCACTAGAGCCCTCTGTAGTGTAGTAATAGTTTATACTTTTCTAACAAAGCCAATCTGGGTTCAGGCTGACTCAAATGCTTTAAAAAATTATAGCCAAAATAAAATAAATGAATCCATGGCCTGAGTTTGAATCTTGGCTCCGTCATGGAGTGTGCAAGTTACTAAGTCTCAGCCTCAGCTTCTGCCACAGAGGACAAGAGAGGTTAACATCCTTCTCACTCTGGCTGTGAGGATTAGAAGGACAAGCAAGTTGCTTGGTCCACAGTAGCCTCTTAATAAATAACAGCAATTACTTTTCAGTTAAAGAAAGTTGAAAGGTAGAGTCCTTAAAGTCCTTTCACCTACTCCCCTAGAAAGATGATGCTAACCAATAGCTGGCAGATGCTTTTATGATTGTTGAATCCAGTTTATCTCACGTTGGGAGGACATTACGGTGCTATTTCCAATTACAGGTGAGAGCAGATTTGTTCCTCTTTCATACTGAAGGGCAGTGTTATTATGATTGGTGTCCTTTATGCAGGAAGAGCAATTTCCATCATCTGTTTCCCTCTTTGCAGAGCAGGGCACTGTCTCCACTCCTCTCACTACTCCCAAGCCCCTGCTCTCTCCCTGTTCAAAGGCTATGGCTGGCCACCCTTGCTACTTCAGTTCCCCAGAACCTGGCTGGGCCATTTCCCTTAACACATCTAACAATAAGAATAGTACACATTTTTCCATTCTATCTCACGAGCTCAAGAGCTTTATACTAACCAGCCCAGAAGATATTTTCCTTGCTCTAAATAACTGTAATTTTGGGGGTCATTTATACCCCACTTTTTATTTCTTTCAAGGACCTCTTACTGCTCATTATAAATGCCATTATCCTTCTCTACAAGCGATCAAATATTATAAGGTCTGACAAGTTAGTTTTATGTTTGCATTGTAACTGAAGTCCCATCCATCTATCCTTCGGGAGTTTCTGAAAACTCTATATGAACTTCACTCAAAATACACAAGTAGCATGTAAGCGTGCTGATCATATTTTCAAAATTATGAAGTGTGTCCTTTACATAAAATTAAAATGGGTTTTAATGTGTTTGAGTCATTCAAAGTTTTATCCTTCATTACCCATTTTTCAGGCCCACCTGATTTCTTTTGGCTCCCTACAGGGGAAATGGGATTTCTTTTTTTCCTACTTTCTCTTCCACGAGGTGAGAAAAAGAAAAGAGAGCAGCTTGGTAGCTGCACGGAAGCCAAACAAGAGACTGATTCAACAGGAGAAATTCAATGCATCCCAAAAGATTCCCTAGGAATTTGGTATCCTGCTGCTTAGAGTACAATTTGTTGTAATAAGAAACTGAAAATTTTTCTATCAGGAAAGTCAAAGTGCTCAGTGATGGCTTGTTCAAGTTAAAAAAAAATTGAACTACAATGGAAAATGTCTTATTCTGGAAATGCTTTCACAACATAGGAAGCCTAAACACAATTTCTCAAATCATATATATTGCTCATACACACTGGTCAACACAAACAAATGTTTTCCTGTTCAGGTGACCTAGCCCCATACATACTGGTGAACCACAAACAATTAAATGTTTTCCTGTTCAGGTGACCTAGTCCCAGGAGTGGAGTGTGGCTTCCATCTTATTCCACAAGGAAGTTGTTTATACTGAAAGTCAGGCAAATGCAACAGAGATAAAGTCTTTTTTTTTTTTTGGAGACAGGGTCTCATGCTGTTGCCCAAGCTGGAATACAGTGGTATGAACATGGTTCACTGTAGCCTCGACCTCCATGGGCTCAAGTGATCCTTCCTTCCACCTCAGCCTCTGAGTAGCTGGAACTATAGGCTTGAGCCACCATGCCGAGTTATTTTTTTCTGTGTGTGTGTGTGTGTATTTCTTGGTAGAGATAGGGTTTCATCATGTTGCCCAGGCTGGTCCCAATCCTGGGCTCAAGTGATCTGCCCACCTTGGCCTCCCAAAGTGCTAAGGCCTACAGGCATGAGCCACCTTGACTGGATTTTTTGTTGTTGTTAAGAGACAGAGACTGACTCTTAACCCAAGTTGGAGCATGTGGTGGTTCCCTGCAGCCTCGAACTCCTGGGCTCGAGGGATCCTCCTGCCTCAGCCTCTCAAATAGCTGGGACTACAGGCACCAACCACCACCACGCCCATCTACTTTTTTTATGTTTAGTAGAGATGAAGTCTTGCTGTGTCACCCAGGTCTGTCTTGAACTCCTGGGCTCAAGTTATCTTCCCACCTTAGCCTCCCAAAGTGCTGGGATTACAGGTGTGAGCCACTGTGCTAGGCCCACAAAAGGTATTTCTTATGTCCTGGCCTGGGTTGGTGGCTCAAGAGCCAAGCAAGGTAGACGGGGAATAAGTGGGGTTGGTCCACAGCTGTGGGATTTTGGAGTAAAGGGAAACAGGTATCCTTGCTGCAGGTAGGGAGGAGCAGCAGAGGAGAATGTAGAAGGTAGACAGTGAGCAGAGAGAAAGTATATGAGCCAGAATGAAATATCTCCAAGGAGGATAGGCCAGACAGAAAAACAAATGGATTCTGAAGACAGATCCTGGAATTAGTATCTAAAACATTAGAGTTCAGGAAGCCTTTTAGGACCACGAGCATCTATGGGCTGGGTGAAAGCTATAGCTGGGAACTTCTGTTTTCCTTGGATACTGCAACCAAGGAGGCACAGGACTGGGGTCCCTCCAGGTTGGACAAAAACTTTCACTAGGAAGTTATCCAAAGGTACAAAGTAGATTCTAGTGGCTCCCTCCTGGTCTGAACTTTTCCCAGTAGACTACTGCTACCTAGAATGACTCATGCTGTTACAGGAAATCCAGCAGCTCCCCTTAGCACATGGTTCTTGACTGGGAGCTTGAGTGTTAAAAGAGGGGATTGGATTATCAGAAAGAGCAGGATTTGGTGAAAGTCAAATGGAGGAATTTGGCATCGGGAGGATATTTTACACCGTGCTTTAAGATAAAGGTTTGAAGACCTCCAGTTACCTTGAGGGGGTTTGGGGGGCAGATCTTCCAACTTCCAGCAGAGATGAGTTATGTGTATGGACCAAAAGGGGAGTCAGGTGGCACTGCCACTTAGGAGAGTTCTCTAGAACCCAGTGTTGATCAGTGTACTTCTTACCAGAACTTGGGCCTCTCTAAGGTGGTAATAGTGCAGGATTATCACTTCTGATTTGAAATTAGGAGCTCTGCTATTTACCATCTTTATTTTATTTATTTTATTTTATATTATTTATTTTATTTTGAGACAGGGTCTCGCTCAGTCACCCAGGTTAGAGTGCAACGACGTGATCACAGCTCACTGCAGCCTTGACCTCCCAGACTCAAGCGATCCTCTCACCTCATCCTCCCTGGTGGCTGGGACTACAGGCACATGCCACCTCTCCCAGCTAATCTTCACATTTTTAGTAGAGATGGGGTTTCACCATGTTGCCCAGGCTGGTCTTGAACTCCAGGACTCAAGCAATATGCCTGCCTTGGCCTCCCAAAGTGCTGGGATTGCAAGCGTGAGCCACTGTGTCCGGCCTATTCACTGTCTTGATGACAGAGAGAAAAGGTATGGGTTTCCAGGGTCCTGGCATAGCCAGGGAAGAGTATAAAAATGGGTAGGAATTATGTATAACTTGGGGTTTGGGGGGAAAAAGGAATTGATATCCTTGTCCCAGGTAAGGATGGGAGGCAAAGGAGGGGCAGAAATGAGAAATGCAAGTGGAATCATGCTGTCACAGGTCGCCCTGGCCAGATGTAAAGCCACTAACTTCATATTACAGGCTTTCTTGGCTCCACCCCACACGGTCCTGGGGCTCTCAGAAATGCCACTGCACAATTTTTGTTGATACTTAATCACTTGGTCAGCTGTAACTGTGTATAAAGAACCCGAAAGTGTTTTAGGCAGATTATTTCTCAGGGCAGAACCTCTATTTTACACATTATTTTATAGTAAAGGTAGGTGAGAGTTTAAGTTTGATTCTAAAGCTATCCCAGGCTGGGTTCAGTGGCTCACACCTGTAATCCCAGAACTTTGGGAGGCCAAGGTGCGAGGATCACTTGGGCCCAGGAGTTCAAGACTAGCCTGGGCAACATTACAAGACCCTGCCTCTACAAAAAAAAATTTCTTTAATTAGCTTGGTGTCAGGGTGTGTGCCTGTGGTCCCCCCTCATCTACTCGAGAGGCTGAGGTGGGAGGAACACTTGAGCCCAGGAAGTAAACACTGCAGTGAGAAGTGTTTGCACCACTACACTCCAGCCTGGACAACAGAGCAAGACCCTGTGTCTCAAAAAACAAAATAAAAACAAAATGAGGCTACCCTAAAATAGCTGCATAAACAAAGCCATGTCAAATGATGATATTCCCCCATCAGTGTCCCCTGGACTGCTGGCTTCTGGGAGAAGGCATCCTCTGGTGGCCAACTAGCACCCATCAAGCTGGTCATGAGCACAGCCTCCAGCTTTACGCCAGTCACTCCAAGGCCTGAGCATGCTGGCCCTGGCTTCTGGGTACCCTTCCAGCTCAGAGGATGACAGTGTGGAGCTAAACAGGGGTTTAGCCATAGGGAGGGCTTTGGGAAATCAGAGGCACTAGATTCTCTATATGAGGCTTTAAAATAGTAGAATGATGAATGAAATCCTGAAAATCAATCGGGGACCTCCAAGAGAGATAAGTACTTGATCCACTGCAGGGCCTCCTACTCTAGCACTCTAAAAACCTTGTCCATCACTGGCCAGGCCGGATTTGGTCCAGCAATTCCTCCTCAGGTTGTCAAAGGCCTGGTTTTCTGGAGATGCTCACAGGTGCCCCTCAGCTGGCTGTTGAAGGCTATCTGTAAGCTCCACCAGAATGAGGACTTTGTATTGCCTGTTTCGTTTACCACAGTGCATTTAAGTAGGTAGGTCTCCATAAATATTTTTGTTGAAAAGGATGAGTAAAAGTGCCTGACCCAGGAATGTGAGATGTACCCATTCAAATCAACTATGATCTATACATCCAGGAGGCCATGCAGTAAGCTGAGAATCAGGTAGAGAAGATGGGCAGGCTTCTTTAGTCCAAATGATATCTCTTGCTCTGTCTCCTACCGGCCAAGGCATATCTAAAGGCCATATTCGACTTCTTGCATACAAATAAGATGGAGGTTCCTACAGAGATCTGATTTCCTAAAGCCCCATGCCTGCTAGCATTGATGTGGAAAGACACACACAGACTTGGGGCAGGACGACAGCTGCACAGTGGAGCTCATAACGGGGACAGGGGAGGAACAAGCAGCTTCTCAATTCTCTTGTCTGAAAGTGGCTGTGGACTATATCTAGCACTCTTGCTACAGGGAGAGTTACCAGAATAAAGTTCAGCAGCAGGTTCTGGCAATGCTGTCCAGAGTGAAACAGAAGATGGGGTCCTCTGAAAGATGGTTGAGTAGTGGCCTCTACTAGCCAGGAGTGAAACACTATAGAGATGTATGGCCAGGAGGTGACGGAAAGCACAGGCTTTATGCATGTTCTGCCATGTGCAGCAGCATGTTGGAAGCAATGAATGGGTCACCTCCCCTTCCCAGTAGGGGCTACACATACATCAGCAGCACCCAATCATTTTGTTTCATCCTTAAGACAGATGGGAAATAGGCAAGCTGGATGAAGGCATGGTATGTGAAGCTGCCAGATCACCTAAGCCTGTCTGCTGTCATCCAAAGCTCTGTCAGAATGTGCAACACTTGTTCAAATGCCTGAGGTGACAGCAATGGTCAGAAGAGCTGCTACATTCAGGAGAAGGAGTAGGCCCAAGGCACCCTGCCTCCTCTTTTTCAGAGGTGTTGAAGGGCCAGAGCTTATGCCAGTTCCATGCACAGAGTGTCCTAGATTTTTCTTCCAGAAGTAAGACTACAAGGCTGGGTCATTCTCACACCAACCAGTAGGTTCAGTGCTGGAACCACTCCACAAAGCTGGGCAATGAAGGTCTTTACCCAAACGTACAGGTGGCATCTCAAGCAAGGTGATTAGGGCTAAAGGAAGTCAAGGTACTTTAGAGGAGTAGATGGCTGAAGCAGAGATGTTCTCATTTCTCTTGTTCCAAGAAAAGAAGAGCCAGAGAAATCGGTCATAATGTTCTCCATTACCTCCTACCTAAACCCTCATATTAGCCTTGGATTATCCATAAAAGTAAAACATAAGTAATGAGGCCTAAGCGCAAGTCAGTGGTGTAATAAATATCTACTAGTCATTGTCATATCTTCTTTCCTTCTTCTTCATCTTCCCTCTTTCTCTATTTTCCCCTCTTTCACCTCCTTTTTCATTGGATTTTATGTCTAGATTCTGCATTAAGAAAGTCTTTCAGAATTAAATTAAAAGGCTTATATTTAAAAGTTTTTAAAAATGCTTGGGTCTTGACGGACCCTTCGCCCATCACTGTGCAGGTGATCACGGCCCCAGTGTCCCAGTAAGAAATAAACCTTACAAAATGGACAGCAAACAGAAAGAGGCCCTGATTAGGCATGCCAGATAATTCAGTATTTCACACATACGAACACACGCACATACAGAGCTCAGAGTCTTGTATCGAGGGTCTTCCACTAAAGATACTTTAATTGAAAACTACAGCATGGAAAACATGATTAAGTGGCTACAAGATTACTGTTCACTTTAATAAGCAGAGAAGAAAACATTTATTCATTTATCAGGTGAAATAATTCTCTAAATCTCATCAGAGACAATAAATGGCAAACAACATACGTGGAAAGAATGTTGGATGAAGTTCAGATAGTTATTTCTTCTTCTGGGGTGAGAACTGGCTCTGAGTTGTTCTCTAGGTCCTACTCCATGAGCATGGATTAGGAAAAGTTCTAAACTAGATACAACAGCCAAGGACCCAGCCTGCCCTCTAGGAATGAGCTTCGTTGTCAGAGACAATGACACAAGCGTCCTCAGAGAGCAAGCTAACAACATCTGAGCAACAAGGAGAGATGCGGGATTGGGAGAGGCAGACCCAAAGCAAGCGCTGGGTATGTGACGGCATCGAACGCGCGCTCAGGTCCTCCCACTGTAATACGCACCTGGGATGCGGGGTCAGGAAGGCAGGCCCAAAGCAAGCGCTGGGCGCGTGGCTGCACCAAACGTGCGCTCAGGTCTTCCCACTATAACATGTACCCGGCAAGCTCTGCAGACTCCTGTACCAGAATGTCACACTGACAAAAACCCATGAAAGAACAACTGGAGTTCTTCAGAAAAGCCTGCTTGAAAACAGTAGAAGGTACTGTTATGAGGAAATCTCATAGTTTATCAACCTATCTTCCAAACCTTCTCAAAAAAAGGAGAAAAAAAAAATCCCCCGCAAAATTAAAAACGAATGGGGCTGCTATGTAATTAACTGACAATCTCTCAGTTACAAACCCCTGATTTGTAACCATGGCAGGTACACAAACTACCAGCTGCATTATACTTCCACTCTCTCCACCTGCCCCCATTTTTTCTGACAACAAAGCACAGAAAACTATCTGAGCTGAAATCTCACTCTTATCAGCTTTCTTCTCCTTGATGGAGATTTCATAGCCCACCTCCCTTGCCTCTTTCTCTGATCACAACTTAAGTCTCTTCATCATTCTTGTTCTTCTGCCTTTTTCCCAGGTACGTCACAAAAGTGTCATTCCCACCAGCACAAAAATACTATTTATGGACAACAAAATTAATATCAACAAATCTTACCCTATAATGTGGGCTTTGATGAAAGAAGAGATGAAGGCCCTAATACGTTTTGAAATGGCTTTAGATCAGAAACAACGGAAGTCAACGTCATCTCTTCTCATATTTTCTTGAGGAAAGAGTGACATTTTAGTGTGTGTGGTGGGGGAGGTACAATTTGGAAATGGTTATCCAAATTTAAAATAAATATAACTTTCACTTTAAGAGCAGGGGGACCTAACTTTTGATGTACCAAGTTACCACTTAGGAATTTCTCATGTGGATTTACCCTATGGATTCAATTAATCATGGCACTGTTTGACACAGTACACATAAATGGAAACGACAGAGATTGATCTAAAAATTATGGCATATCCATGAGATGAAATACTATGTATCTGTTAAAAAGAATAAGGTAGCTAATCTGGAGCTAATCTAGACAGATGTCTACACTCTCTTGTAAAGTGAAAAAAGTTACAGAACATGGGCTAGGGAGTTATCCTTTTCTCTCTCTCTCTCTCTTTTTCCCGCACACTAAGGAGGACCTTTGGCTTGGCTTCCCTTCCTTTTCTCTAATCCCCACTCCTCCATACACCACCTCAGCAGGCATATTTAAAAGACCTATTGGAAATGAGTCTTTCCCCCAGCAAGACAAGCAGGAAAAACGCAGAAGTGCAGGAGAAAGTGGAAGAGCCCACGTGAACAGTTCTGAAGGGAAGAGAGTTGAGAGTAACTGGGAAAGCAGAATAAAAGGAATGGGGGAAGCAGGGCTTTAAAAAAACATTCTGTGTATTATGATGGAACCATTGTTCATGTTTTCTGGCGAAGGTTAGGATTACTGTTTACTTTCAATCCTCTGACACCATGCTAAGACGGAGGTCTATCTGGCTCTGGAATATATTCAGACCGGCCACTCTCACACGGAACATTTCCAGAAGGAAACTTTTAGCCATGTTTATCTTTAAGGAGTGGGACAACAGTTTGAAGATGAGGCTGATTTTTACCTTTCTGTCCTCTTAAATTGTCCTTCCCTACAAGCATATGTTAATCTCGCAACAGAAATGAACAGAACGGGCGAATGTCCTGAAAGTCCTCTTCAAAGCCGGAAACACCCTCTATATCTCCTTATCACTCTCTAGTTCCGAAAGAAAAGTCAAATTTAATTAATATTCGACGCACAAAAATTTTAAAACAATGTGCTCAATTTTGTATTTTTCTCTCCGTTTTTAGGGGCTGGGGGGGGAATTTATAGCCCATACAGTGGTGCTATCAAAGGCTGAGTAGACTTTCATGGGTTAGTCTGGAGACATCACCATAATCTGTAACCATCTTTAATAGGAAAATGCATCCCAAGTTCTGAACTACTAATTGGCGAATTAACATTAGACTAAGTTAAACTTTTAAATAAAATTTATGAAGTATTTTAAAATTATCTTCATTCTACTTCCTGTTTACAATGCTAAGGGACAGATGAGTTTCCATATTAGTCACATATATATGCCGATACTATCAGAAGACATACTATGGGCTAATACTAAACATTATACATTTTGTTGTATGTGATTTCTAACTTGTTTTATGAAACATGAAGGATGTAATGTTGAGTTGCGTCATAAAAACTGAGTAAAATCTATTGAGTAAAAATAAATGAGAGTAGCAAGAAGGGAGCTGAAGGCCATAATTTGGATTAAAATGGAATAGCAGCACTTTCTCCTCTAAGGTCAGCAATTAAAATTTAGCCAAGGTCAGGAGTGACAAAATCATCAAGAAAGACTTGACCTCCATCTAGTTGTTGCAAACAATATATTAACATTGTAAAACTGTTACAGCAGATGGCAATGCAATCATCCCTTGGTAACTCATGCCTAGCTAACTGTCTGTGTCCTTGGCTAAAGGTGAGCAAAAGGCCCACCTCCTGCGTCTGCAGGGAGCCGATGCGGGGGGCTGAGAGCACTCAGTGTGAATTCCCTCATGCACATGTGAGAGGTGAAAACCACTGCCAACTTCTCCATTCCTGCCTTTGTTCCAAAATTGCTAACAGGGTTGCAGGGTACCTGACCTATTTGCATACATTCCTTATTTTTACCTCTGCCTGAGCTAAAGGGGAAAAAGGCAAAGTATGACAACATCTAACCTGCCCATTTCTCTCAACTTTGTTGGTTCTGGTTTATTTATAGCCTTTTCCTCAACTACAGCTTTAAAAGCAAATGATTCGTACCTCACTCATGTGAAGTGGATCAATGCAGATTGGATTTCTTGAAATACCACCAAAAAGCAACTCAACACACGCCAGGGAAGAGAAACCAAGGGAGGCTTGGAAATTTGTCACCCAGCATAAGAACACAGCACACACTTAAAGAGATTGTGACCTGCCAAACACCATGTAAATATAACCAAACGTTTCCCAAACATAATGGACTGTATTCTGGTGGAGGACTTGGCCTCACTTACAAGAAAGGCCTCTTTGTTTAAAGTCAGTCAAACTGCCAGCTACTTAAGGTGTAAGTTAGTGCCTCAAAGAGGCCCTGGTAGATGTGGGGAAGAGAAGGTTGCAAAATACGTGCAGAACAGACACCCGTGTAGGTGTGTGGTCTTCTTTATGGATGTGGTGGACCCATGTAAAGTTTCTGTGCTTAAGAGTGGCCCGAGCAGGGCAGCCTGAGTGTCGAAAGGGAGGATGAGGCAGAAGAATCAGTGCAGCGCTAGCCAAGAGTGAGGAACCAGCAGCTGCTGTTGGGGGCCTGGAGAAAGAAGGGTATTTTTCAGTCTGCATCTTTTGGATGGAGTTTATCCACTCACCCAGAGGCTGTTTGGCTTCCTCAGAGCAAGCCCTGGAGTTCAGAGAGGTAACGCCAACCATCTGACCTGCCTCTTTTTGCAACACTAAGGCTCAGAGAGGAAGCCTTATCTCTTTGAATGCGATTCGTATTTTCCGAGAACCCACAAGATCGATCACTCTGAGCAGGCATTTCACTGCTCATGGGAAAGTCTACAGTCTCAGCCCTCAAGCCAATCCCTCATACATTTGATTAAAGCTGACTCACAGTCTGGATTCCAAAGCTGTTCACCCACAGGCAGTGGAGGAAACCATCTACAGAAGTCCCGAAAACATGCTCAGGGTCAGGCTGGTGGCACTGGCTGGCCAGGGACCTCTGCCATCCGCCTGGCTGGTGGAGCCTCTGCCGTCTTCGGGGTCCTTGTGGACTGCACCAAGCTCCTGGCTCACGCCTGGCTTCCTGACCAAACACCTCATTTCTGGTTTACTACCTTTGTCCAAACAAATATCCTAGACCCTGGACTCACTTCTGTTCTTATGTTGACCCTGGGAAATTCCTCTCCCTCTAGCGGGAACAGGAAGTACCCTGGACTCTCACGTTTCCACCTGCTCCTCTTCGCTTACAGCCATTCCCTGCCTGTTGTCCTACGTTGCCCCTTTGGGCTGACATGGTATTTGCACAGTCTGCAAAGCTGGGAAATTAAAGATCTGCCCAGGTTGGAGCCCCTGTTCTCCAGGGACCTCCTCCCTCTGCCATCGCTCCTGGTCACAGGTGCTTTCGAGGTACCTTCCCGCCAGCAACCTTGTTCTGTGCTAGAGACTGAGCCATTCCCACCTCAGATTATGGTCCACATGTCTCCGTGCCCTTCCCCTTGGGCTGCTCTCCGTCTCACCTTCTAGAATTATGTTCTCAGCCGACTGCAAATCAGGGTGCAGCATCCACCAGCGCCTAACTCTCAGCAGTTCAACACTACCCCCTTCAATGCTTTTCTGAGTTATAAAAACATCTCAGGGCAAAACACCTACTGGTCTCCAGGAGCTGAGATCAGTCAAGAAGCAATTACCTATAGTTCCTTCACCTGACTCAAGGAGAAGCTGAGGCAGGGCCGTCTCCCTGCTGTCCTCCCTGGCTCACAAGGTGATTATGAAGGCAAATGATTCAACTGAAAGCATAAATCCTGAGAGAGATAAAGGACCATTCTTACTGTCAGCCAGACCAAGGGCCCCATATGGCCATCCTCACCTGGACCAGCAGAGGCTCATGACACAGCCTCTCAAGCTAGGTCTGAGCCTGCGTTCCTCTACAGCTCCCCCACCACCCTGAGCCCGTCTTTGTCACTGCAAGCGCCACATCGTATTGTAATCATCTGCTCCAGATAGAGACAGCATCTAATTAGTTTCTGTACACCCACGGTGTCTGACACATGGAAGGAACTTTACAAATGATGAATGAATGCATAAGTGAATGAACAAGAGGAGTGAATAAAATAAGACTTGGTTTTAAACAATGGTTGAGAAGCAGCTGGAAATGCTCCATGCAAAGTAGTAATCAGAATGACTTCACAACATGGATCCTTTGCCCAACGTGAAGACGTCCTAGCCCTTATGTCAGCCCTCTCCCTGGGACTTGCCTGTATGGCTCCATGGTCCGAGTACCATAGAACAAGGCTTCCTCCAACAGGCCGAGGTTGATGCAGGCATCCATGGCGCAGTCGAGCACCTTCAGCTGGTAGATGTTGATATCGGGAAGCCGTTCAGAATTGCTGCTTATGATTGCCTGGCACATGGCCAGAACCTGCTCCCACTCTGTTATTAACCTTAGTTAAGGATTCATTGTCTTCATCAAGAAAAAAACAAACAAAATTAGATTCTCTAAAAGGCTAAAGAGCTCCCAAGCACAGGAGCGAGGGAAGCACCCGTTATTTTTCACAGATGAGCTGCCTGAAAACACACTTGAGAAGCAAAAGCACAGAAGAGGCATCTCAGTGAAGTGAATTCTGTTTACATCAACAAACTATCTCGTAACCAGGCCTGTGCTTTGGAGTTTTAAAACTTCCAAAGACCTGTTCTTGCTTCATACTCCTAGATGTGTTCTCTTTAAATCTAGTCATAAATAAATGCAGTCCTTTATTAAATTGGACTAAAGATTAAGTTAATTCGATTTTAAATTATTTACTCTGTTAGCTTCTGTTTAAAAACTGTTTGAAATTAAAGATGCTTTAGAGAGATTCCTTTTTCAAAAGGAAGAGCTCATGTTTGCTTCTGTGTTACCTGAGTTTTGGGCATACATGAACCCAAAAACTCACACAACCCACAGGCACACACTAGGTGGAGCAATTTGAAGACATAGATTTCCACTGGGTCTCATTTTTTCCGATTATAAAGCAACAGTGACCCCAGCCTGTACTTAACCAAATACATTAAAATATGTTATTTTAAACCCCCAAAATAAGAGACAGTATTAGGAACATGGCTTATGCACATCAATTGCTGGCAAGGGAAACGATGCTTTAAAAAGGATGGGGAGAAGACTCAATGTCCACTTCTCAGTAACTGCCTTTCTGATTAACCATGAGTCAGTAACTTCATCTCATGTAGCCTTGGAGTGACTTCGCTTTTTAAAACTGATATTCCCTGTCTTACAGAGGCAGTCAGAGGACTGAGGACATGGTTTATGGAGCGTAATTTTAATCCCTCCCCAGTGAATTCTCTGGGAAACACAGCGAAGGCCAGAGTGCAGGACCCTGGGACCTCGCAGTTTCTTCACTGTGCGGTGTGTTAGGCGAGCTGGAGACCAAGGAGGGTGCAGGACTGGGACTGGTCCTTCTCTCACTCCTGTCTCACCTTCACCCAGTGGAGCTCCAAATTCATCTGCTTCATATGTTGTCATTCCAGTAGGGTGAAAAGGTTTGAAGATCAGAAATGGCAGCCTAGCCTTTGACTGTAGTAAAGCTAGATTCAGATCTAATCGAGTCCTGTCATTTATCAGAGTTGAGGTTCTGAGGAAGTCAAAGTGCTTAATGATAGGCCAGAAATAGAAATGACTCACGTCAACGTAAGAATGAGTAATATATTGTATGTAAAATGACACAGTTCATGATGTGTCCTCTCATGAGCCAGGGAGAGTTCCAGGTGTCAGAGACACAGTGGGGAACATTTCGTGGCATGCACAAAGCACATGCTACACAAGCATTAGTGCCTTCCACCTTCCCTCTGTGACATGACCTCTGAGCCTGACTGGGCTTAAAGAAAGTGGTTCAGTGGACTGAGTTTGACTGAACTCAGTGCCCCCTTCGTGCCCCCACACCCCTCCCACTCCCACATGACCTGGTCCCTTTACAATCCATGCTCTCTGTGCCATCCCCTGCCCCCAATTCAAAACCCTCTTCACTGAGGTCCTAACAGAGCACGCCCAGCCCTGAGCAGACAGCTCACTGTTTATGGTCCCCTCTCCCTCTCTGTCCAGCAAAACCTTCCTCTTCGAATGTCCATACCCTTCTCAGAACACGGCTTTCTGAAACATTAGCAAATACTTCTAATAAACCAATCAAGCCACTCCTGAGAGTGGAGACAAATACCTTTATGAACTTTCACAGCAAATGTATTTTCTTTCCAGCAAAGGCCTCCCGGAGACACAGTATCTTACTCCAAAAGATGAGTTCCTTGATGAGAATTTAAAGCACCCCAATGCACAGCTGAGAGCCTGTTCCATCACACCCACTACAATGTTAGGATGAGTCCCGTCTTGGAGGAATTGACCCTGATCCCAGAAAAGGTTCATTTCCTGAAGAAAAGCGAGTGCATGATTTGCTCTTGCATTCATCTGACATGTATGTTCAAAGTTTGCTGAATGTATCCCCTAGAGGTTGGGGGAAGCAGTATCTTAGGCAACGCACTGATTTTGTAACAGATTGCTGGGCTAACCTCCGTGGCTTTTCATTCCAGGATTAGATATTTGACGAACTGTCAGGAGGAATGACTGTCTCTTACACATTGCTAGACATTTCTGTGGCAAGACTTGTACCTTATTTTAACATTGTGCTGTTTGACCTCCACTATTATTTGCCTGTTCATTTATGTATGTTCCCACTTATTCTAAAGAGGTTCGAGGTGACAGGCCTTAGAAGTAGAAGCCAGATGTGATGTTCTGCAGCTACTCATAGGAATGCATTTATTTTATCCCCCAGCAAGCTGGAAGGGACTACGTGCCAATTTCCCTTCACAATGCTGGCAACTGTCTCTTGCCAAACAAGGCAAAACCTTTCCTGCAAAACACCCCAGTGAGCCAAAAAATGGAATAATTTTAACTAAGAGGCTTTTCCCCCCAAGCTACTACTGACATGTATTTGCTCAAAGATTTAGTCCCTGGCATCTGTGTGGTGTTTACTACAATTCACTCTGTTCCAGTACGGAGCTGAGCTCTAGACCTAGCAGGGCTGGAGAGTGCACCCAAAGAGAACAGATTCCTAGTGGACAGAACGGATATCTTTTTTTCCTGAATACTTTTAAATGACCATAAGAGGATCAGGGGAAGAGAAAGGGAAGCAAAGTAAATTCACTTGGGAATTACTCAACTTACTGAGATTCAATGACTGTCAGACCACAGAGCTTTTATTCACTTAATCATATTACTCTACTGCTTAAAAAATCATCCCATGGCCTCCTCTCACCTATAAAGTCTAACCGGTGCATGGCAGTTAAGGCCTTGCCACCTTCCCCTCCTCTCATATTGCACAGCCAGCAGCTTCTCAGTAGCAATGCATGTTCTGCGCGTCTGCACAGGTCATTCCTTGTGTTGGATGCCTCTTCTCTTGGTTGGTCTGGTGAACTCCCACTAATCCTCCCAGACGCAGCTCACTGGTCACCTCCTCTGTGAAATCTTTCAACTTCCCAAAGTTGACTATTGTGTCTTTGATGCCGCCATAAGTCTGTATCTTTACCAAAATATGTATTAATGGACATTTTACTACCCCACAATATAGGAGAGTAGTGAGTGCAGGGCTGTGTCTTCTAACTTCTGTCTGAACCATCAGGTGAATGATGACCAGCAAGGTACCCAGCACACAGTCCGTTTTCAGTAAAACCTTGTCCAGTTGAAACTGAACTCTGGCTGGGTTATCCATGGGCCCCAATACCGCTGCCAGGGACCACACAGAACAGGTCTACTCCTCTGCACATAAAGGCTCTTTGAGCCCATGAGCAGGGACCTCCTGCTTCCAGAGTTGACTGTTTTCCGTTTTCCTAGTATCTTCCATCTCATCATAGACAGCGTTTCAAATCCCTCCTTAATTTCAGTTCCACCCCTCAAAACTAGTTTGTTTTTCTATATCCTTTTTAATACTTCCCACCTCAAACTGAATAGAAAATTCCAGAAATAATCAGACTGGTACTATCATCTCTATCATTTTATAATCAATATTAATGCAGCCCAAGATCACAGTACTAAGATTATATTATACTCTTAAATGTTGTTAAATTTTGCTATTTACTAAAGCCCTAAATTTTTTTCACATGTTCTTATGCATATTTACATATTTGAACTTTTTGATCCGAATAGAAATTTTATATATGTTCTTGTTATATTTCATGTCTTTAAAACTTGGATACCATTTAAACATTTAGAGATCTTTTGAACTCTTTTTTTTCTTTCGAGATACTGATTCTATCATCCCACCTCTATTATCCTCCCCATCTACGTCACTTTGGAGATTTGATAAACCTGTCCTCTGTATCTTCATTCGAGGTATGGAATTATGCATTAAAGAGGCCCGAGATGGAAAAACAACACTCCAGAATGACACTGAATCATGTAACATCATTTTTTCAGTGTAGCTATTCAGTTAGCTTTGCTAACATCTAATGTAAGTTTCTTGATTACTTTTCGTCAAATCCCTTTCTAAAGTCTCGATACAAACTTTACCAAAGAAAGCTGTGACTCTGTGGATTCATTCGCTCTTGGAGAAACCAGGCAGCACTGTGATGATCACAGCTTTCTTTTCCATTCCTTAGTAACCAATCCTAGATTCTTTACCCAAGACTGCTAATAAACTCAGTGGGCTATTGATTCAAAATTATGTCCTTCACCTTTAAAACTGGAAACCTCCCTCTACCTCCTTCTCTGGCTCTTTACAACTCTTTAAATAGCATCGTCAGCAAATTGGAAACCTCATCTGCTATGTTCTTAGTGCCTGGGATATAAATTTACCCCAGAGCCTCTGAATGACCTTTTGCAGTCTTTTCATCCACCTTGATCTCTTCCTTCTTGCCTGCTGTTTCCCTTCATCACAGCTTCACTCCAATGAACTCCTCTACCAGGAGCGGCCTCCTTCTCAGCCTTGGCCTATCCAAATCCTGCCCCTGACTCAGGCTATCTTGCACAGTAAAACATTAGTGGAGCCTTCCCAGATGACCTTCATCCTACATGGTCTCTCCTTACTCTGAACTTTGGTCCACCTGTGGTCATTACTATTCATGCTGAGAAAATGTGTCGTGCAGCAATCCCCACTGCCATTGTAGTCGTGGCTGGTTTAATATGAAGCTTCTGGGTCTGACGGTCAATGGCACTGAATGATAAGGATTCTAAGCTACTCTTTCCTAGAGATGTTAGTGGTTATGGGAGAAGAAAATTGAGGAATTTGTTACCTTTTACATATAAAGAGACTAATTCTTACTTTCCTACTACTGCTAGGCCATGAGTTTTGATTATTACCTAACGGTAGTGAGTTATTATTCACGCTGATTTTGCCACGAACTTCCTTGTCATTACTCAAACTGCTGGCCAGGGTCGGAGGTGCGGCCTGTGACCATGGAACAGAATGAAAACCACTGGCTCATGGAGAGGTCAAACCCCGCCTCTGACCTCATTACGACAGGGCTTCAAGAAAACAAGGAAACAATCCCAACAGTCCACCTCAATCCACAGGCGAAAGGATACTCCAGTGTGCCTTCAGTTCTTCAATTTTTTTCAGGGATTCTTGAACTTCCTTCCATACTTGCTCATCACCAGTTAGCATATCAGCATCCTGCTCAGGCCAGAAAAGGAAGACAAATAATCTAATTAGTAATAGGCAAAGGACGTGAATAGACCTTTCTCCCAGATATACAAATGGCCTGCAAGCCCCTGAAAAGATGCTTGGCATCATTTATCATCAGGGAAATATATAAAGCAAAACCACAGTGAGATGTTACTTGATACCCACTACCATGGCTATAATCAAAAAGACAGGATAACAGCAAAGGTTAGTGAAGATGCAGAGAAACGGAAACCCTCATACACTGCACATGAGAATGCAAAATGGTAGCTTTGGAAAACACTCTGGAAGTTCCTCAAAGGGTTAAACGTAGAGTTTTCATGTTCCCAATTAGAGTTACCATATTAACAGTCCTACTCCTAGGTATCTACCCAAGATAAATGAACATGTATGTTCAACAAAAACTTGTTCACAAATATTCACAGCAGCATTGTTCATAATAGCCAAAAAATGGAAACAACTCACACGTCTATCAATAAAATATCCAGACAATGGAATATGACTCCACAATAAAGTACTACATGCTACAACATGGATGAACCTTTCCACAATAAAGTACTGATACCTGCTACAACATGGATGAGGCTTGAATACGTTACGCTAAGCGAGAAGCCAATCACAAAGACCACATGTATGATTCCATGGATATGACATGCCCAGAAGAGGCAAATCCACAGAGACAGAGTCGATTTGTGGTTGCCTAGGGCTAAGAGGATTGGAGGGAACTGGAGAGTCACTGCTAATGGGTAGGAGTTTCTTCTGGGGTGATAAAAATGCTCTAAAATTGACACCATGCTAGTTGCACAACTCTGTAAAGAGACTGAAAACCACTGAACTGTACACTTTAACTGGGTGAATTTCATCACAGGTGAATTACACCTCAATAATGCTGATATTTTAAAAAAACAGAAGAATAGGATAAATAGTTATTTGTTAGGAGACCTACAGCTAAAACCTTATTAAGTATAAAGTACAACTACACCCATGTGACCCAATTCTGACTTCCACCTAAACTAAAAACAAAATCCCCCAACACTGAAAAAATTCAAAAGAAAATTATGAGCTACCATGTATGAAATGTCTGCCCTCCTATTCAGTAAGCAGGTCCTCTGCTTCCGGTTGGCCAGTGTACGTCTGGCATCTAGCACAGTGCCTGGCACATAGTAGTTGCTTACTCAGCACTTGTTGAATGAATGACTGAAAACCACATGTGTGCACAATGCTGAAGGCTTTACTGATATTTACTGATATTGATATTTACTGATATTTACTGATATCGTCTTATCTTCACATAGCTCTTCTATGTATGTAAGTATCTTCACATAGCTCTTCTATGTATGTAAGGTCAAATCCCATGGGGTAACACAGGCAGGGAGTGGAAAAAGTCTACCCTGGGTCAGGCAATGAGAGGGCACACTGTCTATAGAATACTAAAAAATAATAATAAAAACCAACGAAAAGTAGGTCTGATGTTTATTATGTGCAACAATTCAGAGGTGAAATATTCTTCTTCCCCCCAGGTCAGAGGGTGTCTAACATCTTTCTCCCTAATATATCACTGATCATACCCAGTTTATACATGACAAAACTGAGACTCAGATTAAGTGACTTACCTGACAATCACTAGCCTGGAACCAAAATTTCACCCCAGGTCTGTTTGATTCCAAAAGGCTATCTTCTTGTCAAATATTACTCTGTTTGCCACAGATACTGCTATGGTCTTTTCAGCATGCTCAGCAAGTCCTGCTTATTTAAAGCTGCACTAACAGGTAGCCACCAGCCAGGTGTGGCTATTTCAATTTAAATTAATTCAAACAATAAAAAACTCAGTTCCTCAGCTGCAGCAGCCACATTCCAAGAAGCTAACAGCCGCATGCGGCTGTGGCTACCACACTCAACAACCCAGATACAGAACAGTTCACTATGTCATTGCAGAAAGTCCTGTTGGACAGTGCTGCTTTCAGGTGGCTAGTCAAAGGGTAAGCACTCTTAGAAGACACTATTCAAAACCAGGTGTTCACTATCCATGAGACTTTCAACGGGTGTCAGAGACAAGAACCACCCTAGGAAGTTACATGAAAGCAGGGCCAGTGTGAAGGATGACATAAGGGTGAGGAACGAGGGACATTTTCATACTCTAGACATCCCCCTGGAGACTGTCATGTGCCCGTTGAAGGAGGTTTATAGAACGACCCCATGAGAACCACTGCCAGAGTCAGTCTGTGTTTTTGGGAAGAAGAAATATCACTCAAGTGTGCCAGGGCAGAAACAAAGGGAGGGGCAGAGCACCACGAACCACAGAAAACAGATCCTGAGACTCTCCTTCTGAGGCTGGGGCAGTGGGTGTGTGTATGAGGAGATAGGAGCACTTGTGTCTGCATAATTGGGCTTTGTGGGCCTCTATGTGTATGTGCTGTGTGTCTGTGTGATATAGTAGAGTGGATTTTAAAAAGACACCATAGGTGCACTTTTTTTTTTTAATTCTAAATACATCCCTAACTTTCTGTACATGGAGGAGGGAGGAGATAAAATGCCCTTAAGAAGGTAAACAACAGGCTGGATGCGGCGGCTCATGCCTGTAATCCCACCACTTTGGGAGGCCGAGACAGGTGGATCACCTGAGGTCAGGAGTTTGAGACCAGCCTGGCCAACATGACAAAACCTCGTCTCTACTAAAAATATAAAAACTAGCTGGGTCTAGTGGCACACGCCTGTAATCCCAGATACTTGGGAGGCTGAGGCAGGAGAATGGCTTGAACGTGGGAGGCAGAGGTTGCAGTGAGCCAAGACCACGCCACTGCACTCCAGCCTGGACAACAGAGCGAGACTCTGCCTCAAAAAAAGAAAAGAAAAGAAGGTAAACAACAGTCTCCCTTCAAATGCCTGCTTTAAGCCCGTATTCATCTCCTAAAGATCACCTCCCTCTCCTGCACCAAAGCCTTCAGCAACTTCCCACTGCCTCCCAGATCAAGCTCACCCATTAGACCTTAACAATCATGGTCATTCCTGATTGAATGTTCCAGTTTTACATTTCACAACTGGCAGCTTAAACCCTAGATCTAAGCAAAATGTTAGTCTCTATGGTAAGCAGAATAATGGATCCCCAAAGATGTCCACATCCTGCTCTCCAAACCTGTGAATATGTTAGGCCACATTGCAAAGGGGAATTAAGTTGTAGATGGGATTAAGGTTGCTAATCAGCTGACCTTAAAATAGCTGAGAGTATCCCGGACTTTCCAGGTGGGTCCAATATAATTACAAGGGTCCTTAGAAGTAGAAGAGGGAGGCAAAAGAGGAGGTCAGGGTGATGTGCTGTGAGAAGAACTTAACCAGAAGCTGGCAAAGGCAAGGAACCAGTCCCCTGGAGTTTCCAGAAAGGAAGGCAGCCTTGCCCACACCTTGATTTTGGCCTTCTGAGACTTGGGTCAGGCTTCTGGCCTACAGAACTCTAAAATAATAAATCTGAGTTGTTTTGAGATGCTATATTTATGATCAATTGTTACAGCAGCCACAGAAAATGTAGTCCCTAACATACCTTCTGCTCCTCTGGCCACTGGGGCTCTTTGTGCCTGGCCCTCTCTGTACCTGGAATTACTTAGTTAGATCACTCATTTATTCCATTAACACTTACTGAGTACCTAACCAGGCACTGTTCTAGGCAGTAGGGATAGAGCAGTAAATAAATCAGATAATCATGGTGTTCATACTGAAGAGGCAGGTGGAACACACGGCAAGAGAAGATATGTGCATGCGCGTGCGTGTGCGTGCGCGCGCACACACACACACACACACACTCACACACACATTTTGTTGGGAGAAAAACAAGGAAGAGGGATGGGGAATACTGGCACCAGGGAGTTCATTTTAAACAGGATGATCGGGGAAGGTCTCACCAAAGTGATATTTGAGTAAAGCTCATTTAAAGGAGGTGAAGGAGTAGGAGACAGCAGTTCCAGGAAGAGCGGAGGGCAAGTGCGGACGCAGAAGCGTGCCTGAATGTTCCAGGAACATGAGGCCAGCATGGCCAGAGCTTGTGGACTGCAGTGTGTGCATGTCATATCTTCCCCACTTAACTGTAAGCTCTTTAGAGCTGAATATAGGTCTTATTCTTCTTTGATCCTGCCTCTCCCAAATATCTAGCACAGTCTTATATTTAACAAATGCTCTGCTGAATGTCTATAGCATGGATCTGGAAGAAGTGAACTAACTTGGTAATGATTTGATGTCTCTTGTGTTTATTTCAGTTATTCCTCACAACATCTTTGAAAGGCACCAATACTTGTTATTTACAGATGAGGTGCAAGATAATCCTGAAGCTTACATAATTGGTCCAAATGTCCTTCTACCCCTAATTGCCGAGGTAGGATTCAAACCCAGGTCTGTCTGGCTCCAAAGCCCATGCTCTTTCTAGTACCTTCATGCTTCAATTTGATTTCTCTCCTGGACTTGCTTAAAAGGTGAAACTCATATCTGAGTTAATCAATTCAAAATATCTTCACCCTTGTTTCCTAAGCTCTATCTAGTACTAGCAATTCTAAGAGGAGAGTAAAATCCTCCAACATAGAACCCACAGCAGATCTCGTATTCTTCTATCAAGCAGGGTGAGACCGCAGCCCAGGGCAGAACAATTTCATATGGGAATTACAGTCACAACTAAATTTGCCACCAGTGAACATAACCTGATTAGCTGTTCTTTTAGGTTGATCCTAAGCCTTTATTTGCTTAACAGAAGAGCAAGCAAGCTTTGAAACTGCTCCTAAACATTTAGAAATGATACCTCTGAGAGCATTTTATATTGGAGCTAGACAAAGCTACACTCACTAATAGCTATCACCTCCCTGGAGTGTTCCACTACGGTAACTGCCTCTCAGGTTCCAACTTCCCCTGACCCTACCCATCCCACTGTGGCTGCTACTCACAATTATGTCTACACTGGGTCTGTCACGTCTCCCCTCTCTCCACACCAGGCTGGAGGAAAACATTCAGTTGCACAGGTGTATAAACAGGACAGAAACAGAAAAACTACTTAGGGAAGCATAATTTTAATCTTCTACTTTCCTAATTTGCAAATAGAAGAGTAAATTACTGTTTTTTATCACAGTCCCTGAGGTATAAAATTAGTAAATTTATATCCTTATTTCCATTATTTCATATCCAAACACAAAGACACTTGATATAATTCAGGACAAAGTTATTCAGGAAAAAAAAAATCTCTTTGAATTTTACTTTTACCACATAAAAGGAGCTTGAATGGGTGAGTCCTGGAATTTTTTTTTAGGGGATGGAAACATTCATTTTACATTCATTTAAACATCAAATATACTATTGCTGGATTTTCTACAAATGCTAAAAAGAATTCAGCCTAGAAGCAGAAGGATTCCTAAGAAAGCTGACTTTCCTGGGAAATGATCGAGAGAATGAAGAACCTGCTGGTTCCAGCGCTGGTGGCATCTCTGCCCTGACCCACTGCATGACCCCGGGCAAGTCTTCCTTTTCCTGGCCCTCACCTTCCTCACCTGCAGAAGGAGCAGCTAGTCTGGATGGCTGCTATGTAACCACTCTAGTGATTTCAGCAGTGCAGAACCAATTTAGCTCCATCTCTGGTGACTGCTCTTTTGCACAGCCCCGGAGAAGTCCTTCAAAAGCCTGTCTTTATTTTAAACAGTACAATCGTAGAGCTAGTTTATGAAAGACAGAACTGTGCCGTTGTTCTCAGGTAAGAACGAGTCTCATTTGTCCATTCTCTCTCTGACCGCACAAGCCCCTTGAATACCGCCCTCCCAGTTCACTCACCCCATTCTTTCCCCTCACAGCTCCACCCCAAAATCCTACCCACGCCCATCTCTGACTTCACTGCACCCACTCTTCCAACTAAAATCGCCATCCTGTGGCTTCTGTCAGGACTCAGCGTGTTTTCTGCTGTTTCCTCGGCTCACCACTCCATTTAAGTCTTTGGCTTTCTTCCCGTTTGTCCTTTTGGGACACAGCCCCTGCTGTACTCTATCAGGAAACCTTCTCTGGTTCTGCCTTCTGGGTTAGCCTGGCCCTCCAGGCCCCTCTGCACAGCCCCTAGCCCTGAACTGACACGAATGGTTTCCTGGATTGCCTCCCCAGGTATCCTCAGAACGCCCTGAGGGACCGTGACCTCATCATAGCTGTATTCCCAGTGCCTGCAAGGTAAATCACTCGGTAAATATTTGGTGATAGAGTGAATGAGAAGTGATCTTCCACAACCCATGGGCGACAGTATTACAAGAATAAAATACCTTAACTCCACCACAACAAAGAGAATCCCAACCAAGACAACAGGTTGTTCCTTTCACAGCACACGTCTACCTTGACTCTAATATTACTACACTAAGATCAGATACGTTCCCACCGCAGCTGTGGGTATTTGTCAAATACTACAGCTGGCATTGGTCATCATTTAGAGCCTAAGTGTGACACCCTCCCCCAGCACAGGAAACCCCACGCCGGCTCCGGACCCACGCTTTCTGACAATCGCGTCAAGGGTTATTTGGGGAGTGGGCTCGCTTACCTCTCCTGGCTTCTACCTCAAACACCATCCTGAGATTCTAATGGCGCTCTTGGCCCAGAGGTCCCTCGCTCCATCTATCCCTGCATGAATCAGTGAGGCCACCTACATTCCTTCATCCATAGCTGCTGAATCAATACCCCAGGATCATTTCCTTAACTGTAAAAATAGGTACCAGATGATATGAGATCATCTCACCACCACATAAAAGGGTATCACTCAACACGGTTACATTCAATTGGCCAAACGCTTCCTTTGGGTTTCGGAGTGGGAAGTTTACCTGCCAGATACCAGTAGTCACTGTGAATTACAAAGCTACGTTTCTTCCATAGGGAAAGTTTGGAGTCCAGCCAGGCTAGCTGAGTATAAACTTGAGAAAGTGACCACGGGCTCTGTCAGGTTAAACACACGAATCCATCCAGACCCACCTTGCAGCTCGAACACTTGAACAGATGTGTTCACTTAGCTTGCAAGCGTTTGATGTTGAAACTCGTATGCTGGGCCAATTTCAGATGGTTCTCATTAAAAAGAAGAGGAACAGGAGAAAGGTAATCTGCTTCCCAGTACTTCCTGTTATCCAGTACTCATGCAAACTCTAATTAGATTGAAGAGAGATGGAGTATAGGATGAAAAATAAAAAATTAATGAACACTTACAAACTTTTCCAGTAATTCAATAATTCATGTCTTAAACGGAAGAAAGGTTTTTAGTTTTAGTTTTTAAAGTAGAATGAGGTTCAAATACAGTGTCTGCACTCAAGAGAGAGATTGGAAAGTCTTGAAATTAAAAATTCTGAGGTAATTTGCAGTGTCTTTGACTGAGGTAGTCTGGTTGGGGCAATATACTGGGACTAGATTAATATACAACATCATTCAAAACCTTTATGATTAAAAGGAGACATCTGTGCTGGAACCAATTTCCACCTCCTTTGACAAAAACAACTGAAAGCAGTTCAGATGTAACTTGAGGGGAAAAGTGGCTCTTTCATAAAGCGGAAAAATAGTGGCTAAAAATAGAGCATTCACTGTTATATCAACTACAGACCAGTCAGTGGACATTATAGGCTGGGGAATAAGGAAAAGGAAGGAATGTTCTCAGGTTGAAGCACGATCAAATTGTAGTATGTTCTAATTAGCAATTAATCAGCAAATGTACACAACGATTAACAGAAATTAGTGAAAAAGAATGCCGGGCTTGGAGCCATAAGATGTGGAACTGAATCCCTGCTGCATATCCCTGCTGCCGAGCTGTGTAGTCTTGGCAAGTCCTTCAACCTTCCAGAGGCCCAATTTCTTCAGTGGTAACGATTCTCTAAGGAGATGCACCTTCTCATCTTTTCCTCTGCACCCTCTAGAGTTACTTACGTCCTAAATGTCACAGTGGCCTGAGTTTTCAATCCCCACCCTACAGGGCGGGGACCAACAGGAGGCTGACTAGAGTCAGCTTTGTTTGGTGGGAAAGAAAAAAATGGTGGAGGAGGGAGCACATTACAATGTAATCAACAACCAACTATGCTGTGACCCCACATCTCTGCACATCCCATTCCCTTTGCCGGGAAGGCTCTTCCTCAACGTAGTCATCCAAGCAAACTTCTCTGATCCACCACAAACCACACCAAACAGCCTCTGACATCCACAGGCACAATCCCTGTGCACTTCCCACTGGCTTTCATGATGCTTGCTCTACTGCCTGGCGGCAATGAGCGTAACTGTGATGCAGATGAAAAGCATGTCTTCCAGATGCTGTCATCAGCCCACAGGTGAAGTAAAATTGGCTTTAAAAGGTTATTTTTTCATCTATTTCATGAAATTGTGGGATCTCAGTGCCTTTAACAGATGTCCACAAGCAGGATGTAGCAGGGCTCTGAATTGTGAGTCCAAGCAGCTGCTTGCATCCTCGCAAGAGCCCAAAGTTCCCGCCTCCTGCTGCTTCACCCATCTCCTGAGCTGGCCGACCCCAGGATGGATGTCCTCTTCTCAGATGAGAGAGCCCAGAGTTCCTGCCGCCTTCTCCTTCACCGGCCTCCCTGAGCTGGCCGACCCCAGGATGGATGTCCTCTTCTCAGATGAGAGAGCCTTCTCCCGTCGGGCAGCCCCGTCACTCCCTTGGATCCAACTGAGGAGCACTTGGGCAACCAGGGGCTGTGAGCCCAATCCAAACAAAAATGCTCGTGGTGAGGAGAAGAAGTCATCAAACAGCTGAAGCCACTGGCAGCTCTGTTCCATTTCACTTTACATTCCCACCGTCGCTGCCAGCATTTGCCAAATGCCCATTTAGCTTTAGATCTCAGGCAGAAACAGGGCTCTCCTGCAACTACAAATTTCCACAAACCACACATTCAAACCAACTGCGATTTCAAGGTTCAATCTCCAGCTACACAGAATTGCCAGAAGGAAGGGGATATTCCCTTCATAGCTTCTGGGAAACGGAGCACAGCCTTGAAGGTATGAAGTCAGAACTTCTAGAACCACCAAAGGCCTTTTCCGGCTACAGCCTCAACACCTCCCCTCCCTCTGTGTGGGGTTGTTCCCATCCCAGTGAATAAAACTGCTTCTCAGAGAAATAAGCTTATTTGCTTATATAAAATCAAGTCAACCTGGAGAGAATAAAAACAGCATCTACACGTTGAGGGCAGTTTGAGAGCCTACCTCTTGTCAGTGGTGCTTGCTAAAAATGAGCCTTCTGTAGAAAAGCATTTTGTAGAAAACTAGCATGATGGGCTGATATACAAGGCAGTTAAACACACATGAATACATTTAGGAAGGAGACACTTGCTTGCACCCTCCCCCCATACTGGAAAGGTATGTTCCTGATGTAATAACATATAATGGGGATTAGATGACACAGAGGGCTATGAGCTCCACTTGCAAATGCACATTCAGACAAATTCTTTTCACATCTGTAGAGAGACTACCAAATGGATGGCTTAGGCTGCTGTAAGCCCATACTCACAACTCCTACCCAAGTCCTGCCAATACTGTTGTGTAAACGCTACCAGGTGGGAGGTTTGAGATTCTGGGAAAAATGCAAAGATTTTACAGGAAAATTGTTCTCCTGACAATAGCCATTAAGATAAAGTACACCTCCAAAGTTCAGGGTGAGTTTTGTCTTAATGAAGACCAAAGCTGCAGCCCTCATCTCCTTTAATCGGCCACATCTCCATCTTTTGTATTTTCTTCTTTGAGGACAGATGCTCTCATTCTCCTCTGCCAACAGAGATAAAAATGCTTTAAGCTGCCGCAGAACAGATTCAAGTGAGGTTTAAAGGGCAGTGTCCCGAAGGCGAAGGTTATAGGATAACCTAGATGTGGCCACTCCAGAGACATTCAGACATGGGATGAATGATAGCTTGATTTGGGTTCTGTGCTGTTGGCATGTAAGACTGTGTGACAGGCAGCACTACGGAAGTGGAACTAAGGAGGCCGGGCCCTGGTACCAGCTCTGCCACTGGCCAGCTGTGAGGCCTAGAGTCTAACAGTGCCTCCTGGCTCCGCTTGCCCAGGTGAGAACTACATTAGGGTTACCACTGACATGGAAACTAATCCTTCCACTCCATTAGTCGCCTATGTGTAAAGTATATGTTGTCCATGAAAACAGACCTGAAATTCTGATAGGAAGGTTGCTGGGGTTTGTGATTGTGCAACAAATTGTAAATGCCTTTGTTCTGATTTGTCCCTCCTTCATTCTATTTTAAACTGAGTTTTCTCAAGTATAAACAACCCCAGCCATAGCACAGAGAGTCTACAGGACTGAAGACAACACTCAACATGGTACTACCTTCTGCCAAACCAAGAATTTGACAATGGTTATTTAATTCACACATTCCCTCTAACATTTGTATGTATAATGATTATAACAGGCAATATTCCAAGCTTGGGTAAACATGGTATTTGCTTATCTGCTAAAGCGAGCACATCAGATTATCTAATCTGTGGTTCTGAATTAAAGGAATAGTTTAGCTGGGGTCCACAATGACAGCTTCACATAACAAGTCCCTGAGACACAAGTCTAGACATAGCTTTTTAGGAGGCAATCTTACGGGTCATCTAAAGAAATGATTTATTTTGACATTAGAACCTCTCTCTTAACATCAGTTAATGGAGGGTTCCATAGCGTCCCCTAAGTCTTCAGAGTTGGGCTGCAGAAATTATCCCGTTCTACAAACACTTCATAAGGCAGCACTGAAATCCTTAGACCATGTGTCACACAAGCCAAAAGTTCAAAAGAAACATGTCGCTGTTCGAGGGAAAGAAATTACTTTAATCTCTCAGCCTTTAAAAAAAAATTCTAGAATTGTATTTTGTATCTCACTGGAAAAAAAGCCAGTGTTCCTCCAATTATTCTAAAACAAAAAAAGAAAAGTCTGTAGTCTGTGAATCAATCCATACAGAGATCTGTCCCTTGAAGCTGGAGGGTGGGTCACCCCAGAGGGCAGTCACTTGGCCTAAAGGTCTGGTGAGGAGAACACTACTTTGTAAAGTTTGGGAGGAGAGAGGGGTGACCAGATTCCATGGTACAGCTCTTTTGTGCCTCACCTCGTATCCATGAGACAGACTACACAAAATCACCAGGACTTAGACGCTCCTGCAAGCAGCTCTGCAGCCATGGAAGTGAAGTGCTGGCTGACGGCACGGCGAGCCGCTTCCTGGCACGCCAACAGAAAGCACATGTCTGCATTTTTGATTCCAGTAAACTCCAGGCTGGCTCTCAGCCAGAGGACCTCTTTGTAATGTCAAAGATAAAAGTACTGGCCATGTTTGGCACCCTGCCTCCACCTCCATTCTCTTGTAACCGTCTCATAAACCAAGCATGCATTACTGTTAACAGAGTCTTCCAGACAAAGGTCTGACGGAGCTTCATAAACATTAGCAGATGACGATCAGACAGGTCCCTACTGCACAGGAAGGAAAGGAGGTACAGGGAGGGGCAAGTGATTTCACTCAGAACATGCTGGAAATTGTGGGGAGAGCTGGAAATAGATATTCAACTATATACTCAGAATACTCCTACTACCAGAGAACTGCTCACTGAGCCGCCTGAGTCGTGCACATCTTCCATTAGAACCTGGCATGTGGGCAACATCAAACCTCAAATCTGTCCCCAGCAGTATAGGTATCATCTTTATATTGATATCTGATGAAGTTCCTCAAATTTGGATGTTCAAAATGGCTTTTTGAGTATACAAGATGATATAATGCTTCTCATACCCCTAATATTCTTCCTCTTGCCCAAGGGAATGCTACGATGCCAGTCACAGAAGATTTAGGAAATGATTACCTTTTGATTAGTTTTTGTTTTCATTTTGGGTCATACTCATTGTGGGCCAAAATTACACAGCCCTAGCTGTTTGCCTTTACCATTTCTGTTTTACTTTCCATTTAACTTTTGAGACTACTCTGAAAGTAAGATTTTAAGGTTTGTAAATGCTTACCAACTAAAATACGCAAGGATTTCTTTTCCGGAGGTAAACAAACTTACAAATCCCTCTTGCTCTGTGCAAGAACAAGGGGTACCCAGACCTTCATTCAGAGGACTTAATATGAGAAAGTCCCAGGTCTTCATCACCAGTGGAAGCTGGATAGCTCTGGATGTGCTTTTTAAAATATGTATCAGAGGCTTTAATTCACTCCAGAGGGCTGCAGAGAGCTTACTTCCTCCCCTATGCTACCAAGAGTGTGCAAACACACAGATACCCACAGACATGCCCACATACACACACATCCCAGGAATATGCTTTAAGGGATACTGAGGGCTCCGACTTTCCCTCAAACTGCAGACCTGTTGTTCCTCCAGCTTTGTCTCTCCTCTTTGCTGTAAGGGCCTAGTAAGGTAAGGTGGGTATATACTTAGAATCACCTCAGGAGCTGTTAAGAATACAGACCGGGTTCCATCGAGGCAAATGATATCAGCATCTCTTGGGGGCAGGCAGATACCGGTATCTTTTCTAAGCTCCCCAGGTGATTCCAATGCACAGTCTGGGCCAAGGACCATCAGCGTGGCCTTTGCCGCCTCAGCCATTGCTCCGAATCTCTGCGATCATGCTGTCACTCTTCGTGCCGACATGGTTAAGACTTGCTGCAAGTATTGATGGTTTTGCTTTTCTTTTTTCTTGTCTGCTCAATCTACAGTTCTGTCTCCCATGTTCTCTGCTTTTGCACAAATAGTTTATTTACAATAGACACAAAAGTGACCAAGTCTGTGGCACTACGGGGAATAAATCTCATGCCCTTCAGGTGCTCTTTAGCTCAATATATGACAACATCTCCCCAGTGCACTCCAGGGCCAGGTACTGGATCTGAGAAGACACAGCTGAGATGTGGCCTCAGCTTACATTCCAGTGGTTGAAACGGCCAAACAAATGTATCATTTCTAAATACCGCACGTGATAACAGAGAGGTAAGCCCTGGGGCTATGGGAGCATAGAGGCAGAGCCCTCTGCCTGGCCAGGATTTAGGGAAAATGTCCTGGAGAAGAGGATGCATGAGTGCAGGCTTGGAGGCTATGGGAGCACAGAGGCAGAGCCCTCTGCCTGGCCGGGATTTAGGGAAAATGTCCCGGAGAAGAGGATGCATGAGTTCAGGCTTGGAGGCTATGGAAGCATTAGACAAGGAGAGACAAGCAGGAAGGCCAGTAGCAGAGAAGAGAAAGAGGTCCTTGGGGAGGCCACGCTGTTGGGTGCTTCTGGTTCACTCATGCATGGCAGGGCGGCGCTGCGGAGACGGGGCAGCTCCCCGGCCCTCTGCTGCCCTACTAGGTCTGCAGTTACTTGCTGTTCAGAGGCTGCTTTTCCTTAGAGGCTCTTTTCCCCACTAAGCTGAAGGGCTACTTCAGAATGAGCCCACAGACCCAAAAACATAAAGCTGAATTAAACGGTTCATCGGGGGAAAGGGGTGGAGATAAAGGTTTAGATATGAGGTAGAGAGGTAGGGAAGGGGTCAGATCAAAGAATGAATTTGATCCTGCATGGGCAACATGGAGACATGGGGAGATTTTAAGTATAATCTCTATGTTTTTCAAATATTTACGTGGAAAATACACTTGCAGGTGGGAGGGACTGAAGGCGGAAGGTGTTAGGTAGATGTTTCAACAATCCAGAAAGAGATGACATGAATCTGAATAAGGCCGTGCCTTAGCAACAGTGAGAGAGGAAGAGAGAGACTGAAGAGAAAAGGAACAATTCAAGAGAGTGTAACAAGATGATAACCTGGGAGTAAGTCTGTGGAGAGTAGAGGATTCCAGGACAACGGCCATGCATCTGGCTTCAGTGGCTGAGTGCATGGCGAAGCCTTCCGGTGAGATGGGGAATGTAGAAAGGTGTTTAGGAAAGGGACGTTCGCTTTTGGACATGCTAATATAAGATGTCTGCAGAGAATCCAGGTACAGTTACCCCTAGGAAGCGGGAAATATGAAACTAGACCCAGAAGACAAGTGAAAGTGAGAAGTGTCGACTTGGAAGTCAACGCCACGCAGGTGGAATCTGAAGATATGCGACAGAGGAAATCACCCAATCCAACGGGGCCCAAGAATCTCAGGGGCAAAGCGGAGAAGTAAAGGAGGGCACGGAAACGAAAGGAGAGTGTTCCCAGGAGGAGGAAGGAAGGGACAGGTGGTGTGGAACTCAACAATGGCATCAATGGGGAAGAGACTCAAAGGAGGTCAATGGATTTGAAATCAGGGGCTCACCGATGACATCAGAGAGAGCGTGCTTTGGGGAGTGATAACTCCTATTGTGGGAGTTAAGAGAAAACAAACAGGGTCATTAAGTGTGCAGATGACTCAAGGGGTTTCACAGATTAAACAGGAAACAATGGTTAGAGGCAAGAGCTGAGCTGGAAAAAGAGTTTGTTTCTTATAACGGGAAAGTGTGGGCACGTTTATGCCACAGGGAAGGAGTCAGTGGACACGGAAAGGCAGACCCCAACAGATGGGGCAGCAAGGGGGGCGAGGTCCACGAGGAGGCAGAGGGTAGGGTCAAGAGCACAGGTGGTAGAAGCGGGTGGTGGGGACTCGGCTTTGGCAAGGAGGTCCCCATTTCCTCTAACAGGAAGAGACAGAATGGGTGCAGATAGAGTTGCATCTGGAAGTCAGCAGGGTGGGAAGTTGAGATGGGCTTTATGTCTGATGGACTCTTTTTCCCTATCTACTGAAATCAAGAGACAGCAGAGGCTTAGGAGGATGGAGCAGTAGTGAGGGTCTGGGAGTGCTATAGAGAATGGGTAAAAAGGGGCCAGCTGAGGACAACTTGGCAAGGAGGAAGCCCAGCTGAGGGAAGGCCAGAAGCAGCCCCAGCACCTGTCTGCAGGATCCTGTGACTTTCACAGCCCCATTGCATTACAGGGGCCTGAACTGCAGGAATATACTGTTGATGTCATCAGCAGTTGGAGGGTTGGAGAGGGACAACGCAGGGATGGCAGGAAGAGGGCGTTGAGCTTGTGAGTGTAAACAAACATGGGTTCCGGCAGAGAAAGAAGGGAAGCTGCCTATGCTAAGATTTTCAAAAGAGTAATGCCCCTTTTCTCCAACTACAGTTTAGCCCATGAAACCAATTTGTATTTGTTTGGCCTCCAGGAAGAGCAGTGTTATTTCTTTAATCTAGGTTTCATGTTAACACATCTGAGAACCGCTTGCCCATCTCCCCATTTCCATTTTCAGTGCAGCTATAATCTTGATAATGAGGGCACGGTAGTCATTAAACTATTGGAAACTATGAGTCTGAAAATGCTTGACAGTCGCTTAGGTTCCCATTTGCTTTATGCATTTCTAGTCTGTACAAGGTTCACGTTCTAGAACAACATCTGAGCACACTGCTCACAAACAGCTGATAAGCATTTCCCAATAGGACTAGATGACCTACCTCATAGGGTGGGCCTAAGGGCTAAATGAGATAATATGCAAAGTGCTGTGCATAGCAACTGGCTCGCAGTAACCGCTAAATGCACATGAGCTGTGCTGTTACAGAAGAGATGGGGAGTAGGCAGCAGAACACTGCGATGGAGACGAAGAGTGTAAGAGGACAACGCTGAGTAACCGAGGTGATGAGAAACGCTTCAGTGCTCTCTGAGCAACGAGAAAGCATGGAAGAGACAGAGTCGCTGCTTCAAGCGTGTGAGAAACATCAAGAGATCACAGAAAGCTACTCAATTCTTAGGGTTTTTCCTTTCTCCCCAAAGAAGTTATTCTTCATCAGGAGAGAGCAGAATAGGAATCTTAGAAAAGTTCCCATCTTTAATTCCAGCTGAACTATATTCCAGGACAGTGAAAGAACTTGGAAAATATGGTCATGAAACTATTCTTACTCCACTCTGAAGAACTGAGAGAAAGGGAATGGCAGCAGAAGACCAGAGTGGCGGCAAATATGGTCTCAAGAAAATAAAAATAAAACTCTGTAATGGAAGTCTTCAAGCAAATAAGTCAATGTCTATCTTTGACCAATGCTTATTAAGAATTTTAAAACATGGTGTACCCTAGAGACAGCACAGGTGCGTTGCTGTACACACCAGAGATAGCACAGGTGCGTTGCTGTACACACCAGAGATAGCACAGGTGCGTTGCTGTACACACCAGAGATAGCACAGGTGCGTTGCTGTACACACCAGAGATAGCACAGGTGCGTTGCTGTACACGCCAGAGATAGCACAGGTGCGTTGCTGTACACGCCAGAGATAGCACAGGTGCGTTGCTGTACACACTAGAGATAGCACAGTTGCCATGCACACCGCTGCTGTCTCTAGTGAATGCTGTTCTTGCAGCTGCAGCACCAAGAACAAATCCTGCCAATCTGAACTCATTTAATTCCATGGAGATTATACAAGTATATGGGGCAAATATTATTAACACCATATTGTTCGATTTCAACCAGGATTTGTTAATATCTTCATAATATTCTGGGGGTAAGATAAGGCTATCTGGTTAGGATGAGAAAGTATATATAGGTTCCTGGCTGGCTGGCTGAACAACCAACTATATCTTAGGATTAACTGATGTCAGCCTTGAATCACTCCTTGGTAGGAATCATTTTCCTTATTTTATAGATATAGGTGAGTTTCAGAGATGGCCAACTGCAGGCCAAATAACAACAACAACATTTACTGAGGGTTTATTGTGCTAATTACTTTAAACACTGTATCTTATTTAATCATTTCAACGAAGTATCAGGTAAAAACCAGTCCAATCCTTATAGAAGACAAGACTGCAGCTGAGAAAGACAGGTTAACCTCCTCAAGTTCAAGTAGCTACAAAGTGGTGGAGAAGGACTTGAACTCCCAGTTGTATAATTCAGAAACCTGAGTGCTCTCTGCTACACCACACTGCCTCAAATATTCAAGTACTTGAAGACTGGTAGGTGGGACAAGAAACCTATTTGCTCTTTATTGTTCCAAGGGGCAGAACTAAGACCCTGATGTAAGTGGAAAGAGGCAGCTTTTAGTTCATGAGATTAATTAACTTTACAATCACAGTTGCCCAAGAGTGGAACATTGTGCTCAAAAAGAGTGTGCTGAGATCAGCACTAAAAAAGTTCACATTGAGTACGGATACCCACCCAGGGCACACACTGTCCAGGAGATACTTGCCCTGGGTAGGCGGGCCTCTAAGGGCCCTTCCCATCCTGGGCTTATAGGCCCCTATGAAATGATTCTTCTACATTTGTTCATTATAAAAAT